>NC_000004.12:156194108-156497138 GCF_000001405.40 Homo sapiens
CTCCTATGTAACCCTGAGGATAAGAAGATGTGAAACTAATCTTAGAAGGAAAAGAAACACTTTATAAAAAGTTTGGGGTACTTTCTGGCATGAAAACCTTTTATACACTTCCTTGGGGTTTCCCTTGATTTACTTAGTCTTTCTCCAATCTCAGATAATTGCATAATCTCTATAATGCATACATTGTTAAACATTAAATCTAATGTAGGGGTTTTCTGGAAACAAAAAATTATTTTTTTTATATACAGGGCCTGGAAACAACTAGTCAAAATATATTAATATTGGGTTCTTGTCTTTCCAGGGTCTAAGTCATTCCTTAGTACCAAGGTAAGAGTATAAGCAGGTATGTCCACTCTTAAAGCCCACTTCATTTTTTTCTCTTCCTTTTTTGTGTGCCTATTTTAACTGCATCTCACTTGATAAAGGTAACATTAAATTACTGAGTGATACCTCATCCTTTTAAACTTTAAAAAATTCTATTAACACCAGACATCAGCATTCCCTAAACGAGTAAAAACCATAAAATGGTTTGCAAGCCATTTATTGTATCTCCACAGAAGTGGGATCATGGCTTGAATTGAGTTCTAGAACACTCTCTAGTTGTGTTGGACTATATTAGCATCCAGGCACGGTGGCTCACGCCTGTAATCCCAGCACTTTGGAATGCCAAGGTGGGCAGATCACGAGGTCAGAAGTTCAAGACCAGCCTGGCCAACATAGTGAAACCCCATCTCTACTAAAAATAAAAAAATTAGCCGGGCATGGTGGTAGGTGCCTGTAATCCCAGCTACTCAGGAGGCTGAGGCAGGAGAATCTCTTGAGGCGGGGGTTGCAGTGAGCCGAGATTGCGCCACTGCCCTCCAGCCTGGGTAACAAGAGCGAAAACTCCATCTCAAACAAACAAACAACAAACAAACAAGAACAGTGTTTACCTCCTAATTCTGTTACTCTTGGCTAATGGTGACTAATACAGCCCTTGCCTCATGCCACAATGGACTGGAGGCAATAGTCACCTTTAGTCACTGTAGTTAAATTCTGAAACTTCCAAAGAATGTTTCTCCCCTCCACCTTGAACAATTTTTATCCTAAAAGAGGAGATCCTCTGACATGGGTTCAGGACAGGCGTGGTGCACAGGATGAGGATTGTTCTTAGAAAAGAGGGGTGCCGCAATGCCTGTAATCGTGGGTTTGTGAGGAGGACCAGAGGGAATGGCAGACCGCAGGTACTCAATAAGTGATAAATGCTTACTTTCCTGTTATCTACTTTGTGTATCTGGAACGTAGCCAGATATTTCATGGGAGCAAGCTGACTGCTAGCTCCCTTAGAATAGTAGAAAAAGAGCAAAAAGATAGGTTACTTCCTATCTAATATACTTTTGCAGTCTATTTTCACTGGACATTTAAAACAATGAAAGATAAAGAAACTGATGCTCAGGGAGCTTGTGACCCAAATTTACTACTGAAAAACAAACAACCCCATTAAAAAGTGGGCAACGGACATGAACAGATACTTTTCAAAAGAAGACATACATGTGGACAACAAGCACATGAAAAAATGCTCAACATCACTGGAGAAATGCAATTCCAAACCACAGTGAGATACCATCTCACACCAATCAGGATGACTACTATTGAAATGTCAGAAAATAACAGATGTCAGTGAGGATGTTATTAGTTATTAGTAACATATTTATTATTAGTAGTAGTAGTAACATATTTATTTATTTAAATTTCATGTATTTACTTTAAAATTGTTATAATGTCTATAATTTATGTTTAATTTAAAATACCTCAAACTTGACAGTATGACATTGCTGTGGTTTGAATGTCTGTCCCCTTCAAATTTATATATTAAAATACTAATCCCCAAAATGATAGTATTAGGAGATAAGGCCTTTGGGAGGTGATTAGGTCATGAAGACAGAGCCTTCATAACTGGGACTAATGACCTTATAAAAGAGACCACAGAGGACTAACTAGCTCCCTGTGCTACATGAGCTTGAGTAAGAACACAGCTCTCTATGAGGAAGTGGGCCTTCACCAGACACCAAGTCAGCTAGAACCTTCATCCTAGACTTCCTGGCCTCCAACTGTGAGAAATCTCTCTTGTTTATAACCACCCAGTCCATGGTATTTTGTTAAAAAGCCCAAACAAAATAAGAGAGAGATATGTATTTATTTCAGTTTACATCATAGGAGCAATTAGTTAATATTTTAAGTATTCTAATCAGAAATATACACACTGAGTGACTCAAAAAGTACTCGCTTAGTTAACATTTGGAAAAAAATAAGAACAAAACCCTAAAATAACAGCAACATACAAACAGAAGCCCAAGCTCCAGAATAGACTGTTTCTAATTTATAGCTGTCTTTATCTTTCCAAAATATTGAATGGTTGTTAAATAACAGAAATGCTAGAAGTTACGGTTCATCGGTGAAAAAGTTGGTGTTTAAGATAGGGGAATGGGCTGGAAATACCATGGGAGAAATACGGTAGGGGGCAGGGAAGTGCTAAGAAGAGAATGGTGGGGTCCCTGGCGACAGCTCCACCCTTGGGCCTGTGCCCACGGATGTAGGTGAGGACAGGCACTCTTGTTTTCATGCCCAAATGTTGCATTTTCCAAGACCACCCTGGCCTGCCACTTCCCACATCCTGTGTGTCTAAAAACTCCAAGACCCTAGCAGGCACAGACACAAGTGGCTGGACGTCAAGAGGAACACACCAGCAGAAGAGCACACAGGCAGCTGGACGTGGAGAGGAGCAGAGGAGCAGAAGAGCCACCAACAGGCACCAGCAGACACCAGCAGACAGGCGAATGACGTGGCGCCAAGGGGAATTTGGCCGGGGCCATTGGAGGAGAATCTGGCCACTGAGCAGCCCAACCCCAGGGGAAAACCACCTTCTTACTCCATGCTTCTTCTGGCTCCCCATCCACCTGCTGAGAGCTACTTCCACCATTCTATGAAACCTTGGACTTATTATCCAAGGCCACACGTGATCCAATTTTTCAGGTACACCAAGTCAAGAACCCTGGGATACAGAAAGCCCTCTGTTCTTGCAGTAAGGCCCATGATCTATTTGAACAGATTAACACAAGCTGCCTACAGATGGCAAAACGAAAAGAACACACTGTAACAGACACCCACCGGGGCTTCAGGAACTGTAAACATTCACCCCTAGACACTGCCATGGGGTTGGTTGGAGCCCGCAACCACAACCTGCCTGTCTGCATGTTCCCCCTAGAGGTTTGAGCTGCCAGGCACCAAAGAAGCAAGCCGCACCCCCACCACCGGCCCTGCAAGGAGGATAGGGAACTTTTCCCATTTCAGGAGCGCAGCTGGCCTTGCATGAGTAGAGTGTAGGAATGGAATGAGCTTAATTACATCTATGATTCAAAATGACGCTTGGGACTCTCCGTTCTGCTTTTGGCCACTTAGGACTCTTGGAAAAAAGCAAAGCAAAACAAAACTAAGTTCTTTCATTAGCCTAAACTGGCAGCTATCTTGGTAAAAATTTTAGGCAATGTACTGTTATATCTAGCTACAAGTTCAGAGACCAGGGTTTCATTGAGTTTATATAATAGGAAGAGTGAATGTTTTATTGCCTACTTAATGATAAATATTTAATGTCTCTTAGATTTGATCTGAGATTTTTTCATTGTAACATGCCACCTGATAGCTTGCGATAGGCAAAAGAAAAAGAAAAAAAAATTCTCACCCTCTTCTAACTAACTGAAAGTTAATAGTATTTTGTAAAGTAACTACATAATTCTGAAAAACCAAATTGACATAAGTCATAACAATATCCCATCTAGCCTGTGACAGAGCTGCAGGATTCAATCCCAGGACTGATTCACTGGCCCCCCTGGGTCATTATGCCTCTTTAGAGAATCTCTCTGCTGTATGTATCACTAATTATAATCCTGGGCTGGATTTAAAAATAATCGGACTGACCAGGTGGTATGAATCTGTCATTCTGACTTTTCAAATTCCCTGGTCTCCAAAAGCCGACTGTGGTTCACAGTGCTTTGACAGAAGTTTCAGGCTTGCGGTTTTGTGTTTCCATAAGGGTCGTTTGGCAAGACAAGCTTCGTGTTAAGGTGGGATTCGACATGCCTAAGCCTTTTCCTTAAAACTTTATTACTGTGAATAACTCAGTTTTGATAAATTAATCTGGTGGGAAACTTTTCTTCAAGCGTACTGTATTACCTGTGGGAACTTAGGTTCCAATAGAAGCAAATCTAACTTCCATCAGCAAGAGAACCAGTAGAACACGGGAGTTAAATCAAAATGTTTTATGCTTTCTTCTTTCAAACTTGCACGACGAAAAGATAGAATTATAGTATTGATACAGGAGTGCTGGGAAGGGAAGAGCCTGGTCCCCTTAAATGATACAGAGTACGGGAAGGGAAGTGCCGGGTAGAGGAGGGCGTGGTCCCTGGCTAGGGTTCCACCCCCACGGACCTAGCTGAGGGCAGGTACTCCTGCCTTCGCACCCAAATGTTGCATTTCCCAAGAACACCCTGGCCCGTCACGCCCCCATCCTGGGCCTATAAAAGCCCAAGACCCTAGCAAGGCAGAGACACAAGCAGCTTGATGTCGTGAGGAACACCTAGGTGGAAGAAGACACAAGTGGCTGGCCTTGGCGAGCCTGCCAGTGGAAGAGGACACTGACGGATGCTGGCACACTGGCAGGGCATCCACCGGTGGCACGAGGTGGAGTTTGGTGGGGGCAGTCGGAAGAGAGTCGGAAGAGAGCCGGATGCCCCCGAGTGGCCCAACTCCAGGGGACAACCATCTCCCTTCTGACTGCCCCATCGGCGGAGAGCTACTTCTACTCAATAAAACCTTGCGCTCATTCTCCAAGCCTATGTGTGATCGGATTCTTCCGGTACACCAAGGCAAGAAACCCTGGGATGCAGAAAGCCGTCTGTCCTTGTGATAAGGAAGGGGGTCTGAGAAATTGAGCTGATTAACACAAGCCGCCCATGGATGGCTAAACTAAAAGCACCCTGTAACACATGCCCACTGGGGCTTCGGGCTGTAAACACTCACCCCTAGACACTGTTGTACGGTTGGAGCCCCACAGCCTGCCCGTCTGTATGCTTCCCTAGAGGTTTGAGCAGGGGGACACTGAAGAAGCGAGCCACACCCCTATCACATGCCCTGTGAGGGGGACAAGGGAACCTTTCCTGTTTCAGTATCAGCATATAAAGGAACAAAAAAAAAATTTTTTTTGAGAGAAAAAAATATGCTAAGCAAAACAGACCTTTTATTATACCACCAGAATAATAGTTGATAAGCAATGAAATATCCCCCAAACTGTAGATCCATAGCTTTATACCTGTCGAACCTAGCACACAGTTCAAATTGTATTGCAGGGGTTTTAACAAGATGCTCAGAGAGAAATGATACACATGACACTATTAGCGGATACAAAACCTTGGTGCCCAGAAGAAGAATATATTGTTGATTAGTTTTCAACCAACCTGATGGCTACAGCTAGATCTACGGATATAGGTCACAGTAATTAAAAGGGCCCAATCTTTTCCCTTTTTATATGAGACAGTATAAATCCTCACATGTTGATGAATTCTTGATAAATCCAGTTTTATTCAGAGTGAATGATGCAGTCAGATCTTTCTAATCTAGTTTTTATAGCACTTGTACATAGTAAGCGATGGGTGCTGTGATCTAGAACATATATATTGCCCTTTTTAATATTTGGAAAGCAAAATTTTGTTTCTACTCAGATGAATAATAATCAAACAAAAGGAACAAAAATTCCCCCAGTAAATGTGAAGAGGGTAGTTCAAACAAGATTAAATTGAACAATGTAGGATTTTTTTGAGCATCTCCTAGTGGCAGCATATCTTATACTTTTGAAAACAGTGGTCAAACTTGTAATAAGCTTTCTTTCATCTATTTTGTCATTAATTTGGATGATACTGATGATAAACTTTGACTGAACTCCACAGAGAAAATCAAACAGATCATTCCAAGGAATTTGTAAATTTTTTTTTTACCATATATTAGTGGACAGGATTTAAGTATATAAAATGCACATATCACTTTTTCTCTATCCCTTCCCTTTTCGTTTTTGGAGACAGTGAGAGGGATGGTAGTGGGAATGTGGTAATGAGGATAAGGTACTGAGATCCAGGACAGGAACTAGAGTGAGGAGAGTTAGGCACTTGCCTTGAAGAGTAAAATGAAAGAGGGACCCCCAAACTCAGTCGTCCAGATAATATTTTAATGCAGTATTTTTAAAAAACCCACAAAA
Organism: Homo sapiens; assembly: GCF_000001405.40. Taxonomy (NCBI): domain Eukaryota; kingdom Metazoa; phylum Chordata; class Mammalia; order Primates; family Hominidae; genus Homo; species Homo sapiens. The sequence goes on from NC_000004.12 coordinate 156,200,392, forward strand.
ATAGTGAAAAAGATTCATGATAAACAAAATATCCACTTTTAAGTAAATACGGAGTAATGTTACTTATTTTTTCTTTTGTGTCAGGCTCTGATATGGTTTGCTCAGTATTGTTGAGAACTCTGTTCAAAAATTCATTTTCTAAGAATCATTAATTTTGAAAATAAAACATAAATTCTGATAGCACCAAGACCAGTATCAGTTTTATTTTTATGAACATTTACATTTACATAGTTATATAAGTAAGTAAATATTCGGGCACAATATACAGCAAGACATTTAAGAAAATGAAGAGAAAGGAGACTAAGTTTCATGTCTTTAAGAAATTAATTTTTTTAAGATTTTAATCATTTTTTCTAATTATAGGTAAATATATGGTTATTGTAACTGATTCCAAAAATACAAGAAAATATGAAAAATAAATGGCCAATAACTCTACAATCTAGAAATAAAGTTGTAAATATTTTGATGTGTTGGTTTCTAGATTTTGTACTTCACTTACATGCAAATATCTTTTAAAACAAAATATTGGATTTTTAGTTTAATAATTAATTTTTTCCTTGAAAATGGAAACTACGGGTTAGTGGGAATATAGACAGTTTTGAGACCAAAGAGGCATATTAAAACTGCCTTTCTAAAGCTTACGTTAAATTATTCCCCATCCTCAAGTAATGTGTGATTTAGCCTGTTTCTTTGAATACATAACAAGTTCTATCCTTTTTATTTTTGACAGTCTGAAGATGGCAATTAAAAAACAAACAAAACAACACTGTGAGCCCATTGTTGTTTAAAGCCATCTATTCATCTTAAGATTTCATGGCATACTAATAACACTATTTATAATCACCTTTGTCACACTTTATTATTTATCAGTTTCAGTTCCTCTTTTTTGTTCTCTTTATACTAAAATCACCTACAGGGAAATATTTACAACTTTTTCATGTTGGTTTAAGCCTTTCCTACAGAGTTTTTGCTTTAATACTGACAGACCAAAAGCTTCACCATGGCTCAGTTTTACTTTGTTTTGTTTGCTCCTCAATCCTTATAATATTGTTAAATTTTTCTTTAAGATGTTAGACTTTTCTCAGAATATATTCAGATTTTGATTACTTATCCATGTAATTATATGGGAAACTGTACATTCACATCTCAATTCAGACCATGAAAGCTTACTTCTACTAAGTATTCCCACGGTGATACCCTTCCATTTGCTATTCAGGAATACCACTTACCTGCAGATCCATCATTTGCTTCTGGATATTCCCATGCACAATGGAAGATTTTCTTTCTTGTTTTAAAATTTTTAAAAATTCTGTATTTAGTGACTTGTTTACAGAACGTGTTCCCTTTTTTAAAAAAATTTAAACAAAGTTCATCAGTCTCTCATAGAAATGGTTTTTGTGTGTGTGGGTTTTTTTTGTTTTTGTTTTTGTTTTTCTCCATTATAGGACGTGAACCTGACAAAGTTGTTCACAGGTCCGCTAGCTTTAAGTACAACGGGATTTCTGTATTCAAAAGACTATACTCAGTGCTTAATCAAATCCTGTCACACTAAAGTCAAATTTAGTTCTCTAGGAATCAAAGTCTACGTTCTTTCAAGACTATTTCCCACATCAGTGATATGATTATCAGCTTTTATAATTCTGCTATTTATTACTTCAATTATATTTCAAAATTTTAACATCACATTCTTTTTTTCAAAAAGTTTCACAAATATCTTACTTAGAACCATTTAAATGTCTACTTCCTTGTAATTCAATTCACGTTTAATCCCCTCTTGTATTTTTCTTGTCATCTCCCTTTCCTTCTTTGTTTCACAATAATTACATTTTATTGATTATAAAGCAGATGCTATATGAGATTTCCTTTTGTTTTCAGTAATGATTCTTTCTTTTATATTACGTTCTTTTACTATGTTTGCTGTAGAATATTTTCATAGACACATATAGGCTTCATTTCTGTGTGTATACTGTGGCTTCTGTTAACTTAAATTCTGGATCAAATTTTACCCTAATATTGCTTTCATAAAGAAGGTTGCTAAACTGTTTCTGGGGCTTTTTCTTTAACATTTAGATAGAATTGAGACTGATTCTTCAGTCTCAAGTTAGGAGCCTTGTTTGCTAGTTCATTTAGGAGAGTTGGGAGGGAGGCAAAAACATGGAAAATTTTACTAGATAACTTCTGCAAGATTTCTTCCTAATTTTGTCGGAATTCATATGCACAGGTCCAGGCCCAATAGACCTAGCCACATCTTTTTGCAAACTCATGGATAGCTCTGTTTGGTCTTTCTCATGATAAGAACTATTAAATATAATGTATTTTTGGTGCAAAAATAACTGCGGCTTTTGTTAAAAGTAATAGCAGAAACTGCATTACTTTTGCACCAACATAATAGTTTCATAAGGCTGTATCTCCAGAGTCTCTGATGCTATTCTCTCCCAAACGATATCTACACTTAAATGCCTACCTCAAAATTAACATTTAAATATGAAACATTAATCTTTCTCTATATTTTCTTCTCTGATTTGCCCATCACAGTGAATGCCACTATTCAATTGGCCAAGCCAGAATAAAAGTATCATTTTTTTACTCATCCTTCTTTGTCACTCCCTCAAAATAACAATTTCCAAGTTTTTTCAATTTAACTTCTATTGTGTGGATTACTGTGATAACCTCTTTACTAGTCTTACTACATTTAATCACAACCACCTTCAATTCTTTCTCTCCACAGTGGATATAGTGATTTTTCTAAAATAAAATACCATTCAATTATTGGATAAAAAGGAACACCTCCTTATCAAGCTTTAAAAAAGGCCATGCTGTTACAAACTATTATCGAATTCTTCCTGAATTGAGTGTACTGTTTATATGTCCAGGCTTCCTCCATACTACCCCCTTCCTCTGATTGCACTGCATCTATAATAAACTATTTCGGGTCATGAAATGAATTATTCTCTCACCCCCAACCATTGCACATGGTCTTCATTCTCTACAGAATACTCTTCCTGCTCATTGCCTTTCATTTCCTCACCCTGCTCCCTATACAGCTGCCCTTTATTATGTTCCCACATCATTCTGCATTTCCAACAACATCGTACTCTTCTTAATAGATTATAACTGCTTGTCTAATTATTAATTTCCCCTGAAAAATATAAATTCTGTGAGGAGAGAATCTGTCTGGGCATCAATGTGTTGTAGTACCAGCCTCTGTACCCAGTGCTGAAGGCCTTAGCTTGGGCTGCCACCATAGACTCCATTTATTGCAGGCAATTGAGGCTGCCCTGGATATTGGCATCTTTTCAGTATCTAAAGTGATTTTAGCTGAGTATTCCTTATGTGTCGTTTAGGACTCTCCTCATTGTAGGTGATAGAAGTTCTACTTTAACTTACTTTCAAAAGTGACGATGTGTTGGAAGATTAGGGGCAACTAAACCTTAGGAAGAACAAGGATGCAAGCTGGATCTTAAAAAGAGCTGAAAGAAGAGAATGAAGCAGTCTGGACTCTCCCTGGCTTTTATCATTGTGTCTCTCCATATATTAGCCATCTTTCTTCTTGGTAGAGAAGGGCTTTTTGCGTGTGTACAATTCCTGATCCACAGTACTTCCAAATGTATGTTCAATATCCTGGGAAGAAACAGTTGACCTGGACTACATCAGGTAACTTAATGCACTCATTATGGTAACCACATGGCTGTAGGAAAGCCTGGTGCCTAGACAAAGAGGACAACGCTGTCTGAAAAACACAAGTTTCTCAGGCTGGCTCTATTTTCATTTCTGAATCTAATGTAGGAGTTTATTCTGGGATCAAGAACCCCTTATTATTTTTTTTCAAAAGCCATATTTGTTTTTGGAAATTTGATTTCCAAATTAGCAAGTGAGGCCCTCTCTAGTCTGAACCTATCTGCATTGTATCTGTTGCATTCTCAAGGTTTCTACAGGTTAATAGCCCATCTTCCTAGTTTTCAGAACTGTTGCATGTTCTACCTTGTATTTTCTTTTCGAGTTTGTGGAAGTAGTAGTCAGATATTTCAAACTCTCATAGTTCCCTCAAACTGTTTTCCTAGAGATTAATTTATACCTTAAAATTAAAATCACTTAGCTTTTTTTCTCAGTACAAGAATTAAATTGGAAAACAGTTACCCATTTAAGTTAAAAGTTATCTTAAATAAAAGGAAAAACATTTCAGATCTGGCACTAGATAAACCCACTGAAAAACATTATCAACAGAAGAAAGGATCTAGCTCTTCCTCTCAAACATCGTTAATCATCATCTTAATATCTGATCCACAAATCATCACTGCTGTTTGGAAAATCAAGCTCATAGCTCAATGACAGCATAATTATTTTAAAACTAAAGGAATAACACATGTATTTTCCATAAAAAAACTAGATTATAAAATGTTTTTTGTTTTTACTAATATTTTTCTTCATACATATTTAATTTAATAAATATAGATGTAATATTTATGGAAAATTGTGCTGCTTTTTCATTTTGAAAATTAATAGAAGATCTGTGAAATATATAACATGGTTGCAGAAAATGCTCCATGTATTAACTATGAGAAAATATCAATTACTTAATATATACTTTCACATACATATAGTATTTGTGTTTGTCACAAACACAATGTCTTTGTGACCTAGACAAATGTTTTAAAAGTCCACAGATAATAAATAGTATAAATCTCAAGAAATGTTATGGTTGATTCTGTTGATTTACACTAATTTAAATGTTTATGTGATAGGGATAAATGCCGTTATTTTCTAAGCTCTGTTTTTTATATAGCTTTTTAAAAGCTTCTTAGTATTGTTAAGAAGCTTTCCTTATAGAGGAATCAAAAATAATCCCATGATATTAGTCCAATATGTGCCATCGTTTTTTGGAATTATCCCCTGTGGCTGCTTTCACAAGCTGGCATTGAGTGCCTGCAGCTTTTCCAGGTGCATGGTGCAAGCTGTCATAGATCCATCATTCTGGGGTCTGGAGGACAGTGGCCCTCTTCTCACAGTCTCACTAGACAGTGCTCCAGTGGGTACTCTGTGTGGGGGCTCCAAACCCACATTTCCCTTCCGCATTTCCCTAACAGAGGTTCTCCATGAGGGCTCTGCCCATGCAGCAGACTTCTGCCTGGGAATCCAGCCAGGCATTTCCATACATCCTCTGAAATCTAGGCAGAGGTTCCCAAACCTCAACTCTTGTCTTCTGTGCACCTGCAGGTCCAACACATGTGGAAGCCACTAAGGTGTGGGGCTTGCACCCTCTGAAGCCACAATCCAAGTTGTACCTTGGCTCCTTTTAGCCACGGCTGGAACTGGAGCTGCTGGGATGCAGGGTACCAAGTCCCATAGCTGCACAGATCAGTGAGGCCCTGGACCTGGCCCAGATCCACAAAGCTATTTTTTCCTCCAAGGCCTCAGGTCTGTGATGGAAGGGGCTGCTATGAAGGTCTCTGGCATGCCCTGGAGACATTTTCCTCATTGTCTTGGCTATTAACTTTCAGCTCCTCATTACTTATTCAAATTTCTTCAGCTGGCTTGAATTCCTCCCCAGAAAATAGGGTTTTTTTTTTTCTACCACACGGTCAGGCTGCAAATTTTCCAAACCTTTATGCTCTGCTTTCCTTTTAAACATAAGTTCCGATTTCAAACTATCTCTTTGTGAATGCATGGAACCGAATGCATTCGGAATAAGCCAGGTCAACTCTTGAATGCTTTGCTGCTTAGAAATTTCTTTTGCCAGATACCCTAAATCATCTCTCTTAGGTTCAAAGTTCCATAGAGCTCTAGGACAGGGGCAAAATGCCACCAGTCTTTTTGCTAAAGCATAGCAAGAGTGACCTTTGCTCCAGTTCCCAATAAGTTCCTCATTTCCATCTGAGATCACCTCAGCCTGGACTTCATTGTCCATATCAATATCAGCATTTTGTTCAAAACCATTCAACAAGTTTCTAGGAAGCTCCAAACTTTCCCACATCTTCCTGTCTTCTTCTGAGCCCTCCAATCAGTTCCATCCTCTGCCTGTTACTCAGTTCCAAAGTTACTTCCACATTTTCAGGTTATCTTCATAGCAGTACCCCACTATCCTGGTACCAATTATCCATATTAGTCCATTTTCACATTGCTATAAAGATACTACTGGAGACTGGGTAATTTATAAACAAAAGAGATTTAATTGACTCACAGTTCTGCATGGCTGGGGAAGCCTCAGGAAACTTATAATCATGGTGGAAGGCAAAGGGGAAGCAATGCACGTCTTACATGGTGGCAGGAGAGAGACAGCAAGCAAAGGGGAAGTGCCACACTTTAAAATAATAAGATCTCATCAGAACTCCCTCGCTATCATGAGAACCACATGGGGGAAACAGCCCCCATGTTCCAATCACCTCTCACCTGGTCCCTCCCTCAACACATCGTGGGGATTACAATTCAAGATGAGATTTGGGTGGGAACACAGAACCAAACCTTATCAGAAGTATATGTATTTGAAATATATTTTGATAGTTAAACCAACATGATTTGGTGATGGATTAAATTTGGGTCTGGAGAGTGAGGGAGAGAGAGGAAATAATGCCATTTCCTTGGTGTTTAGCCTGAACAACTGTTGACACTTTTAATGAGCCGGAGTACATGGGGAAGGCACAGGGTGGTTCCAAGGAATTAAATTTGTGACACCAATTTGACCTTCGTGTGATGATATCAAGTGGCATTTTATTTGAGTCTGGAGCTCAGGAAAGAGGCTGTTATAGCATTATTGAGTGACACACATTCATGTCACATCACTCATGATATAAAGGTGGAATTTTCAACTACTGAATTAACAAAGCTATTATCTGTGTCTTCTTTTGAATGACATACATATATTAATTAATTACTAGACAAACTCAATGGACTTAACTAAAATAATAATTATAAAATTTGTGTGTTATAAAGGAGAGAAGGAGTTTATTCACTACGTAAGAAAAGACAAAAGATAAGTAGATTTACCTGTTCTGTTGTGGCTCTAAAAATTAAGTTTTTTGCCCATGTCTTTTCATAGTGCATAAGCTCTTTCATTAAGCTGATATTATACTGTGCTATTATTTGCAATATTCTGGAGGAAATTCATATAACTAAATGTCTATTTTATAATTTGATTTTTTTAAGAAAAAGAATTTAAAAATTAAGGACTATAGTCAATATTTATTTAGAATAAAAAAGAAATCAGAACAAATGTTAACTTGTAAAAAATGGACAAATACCACAAACATAGCACAATCCATGGAATAATGTAAGAAGTTTATAAACTTTAGGATGCATAGCTATATTTTTTCTGAATTTTGTTATAATTAATAATTTTGAAACATATACCAAATTATTCGGAATATGGGTGACACACTGGAGCAATTCATGTTTTTTTTTAGTTGCTTCATTATATTGAAGAACTTACATAACAAATTAGTCTTATACTACTCACGCAGACCCATTGATGAGTACGTGTAGGACATTTGTCAGTGACACATTTTTTTATGTCTCTTTTGCTCTTTCAGCCACAAATTTGCATGCTGTTTTACCTGGATCTTGCAGGTATTGTCAGGACAAGATGTGTCAGAGATTATAAGATGCTATGAGTTTATGAGGGTGTCAAGGTGAATAAAACATACTTAATCATTGAGAGGCAAAAGTACTATTTGCAATATTGCCGCAAGTGTGTTCCCTACCAACACAGGATCTATGAAAGTTACTCATTGAGATTCTCATCCAAAAAGAAAAAAGTGTATAGATAATTTATAATTATGCATGTTGCATTAGCAAATATATTTCTGATAGGTGAGAAACTATTCAGCTAGGTATTCATGAGAATAAAATTTTCCACTTAACATTCTAAGTTCACAACGAAAAAAGAAATTTCCACAGACTTGTTTTGGGCTTCATACTTTTTAAATTTCTTTCTCCTCTACTATCCACCTATTTCTGGGGCAGGAAAAACATAGGACACAGATTGCAGTATGACTTCTGACCCTGCATTTTTGCATCAGAAATCTGGAGAAGTCTGCACAAGAGATGTCCTGGAAGCCTTTCTTATATATTGATTGTGCCCAGCAATTACTTCACTTGGCACAGCAGTGAACATGAACCACAGGAACACATCCCACTGAACTCGCCTCTGCTTAAGTGGGTTCCCCAAGTGCCACTGCTACTCCAATGCCACCAGATAGGAGCATTGTCAAAACAAAGTCTATATCAAAGCAGCAAGTCAACAGATTGCAAGTCAACAGATTGCACTTCAAATAGCTTTCTCCGCATGCTTGACAAAAAAATAATAATAATAATCATGGGAACACCTATGTACGGCACTTCTGAGGGCCCTGAGATAGGCCTGTGCCAGTGAGAGGACCTGAAAGTTACATTTTACTAACTTGAGAGTAACTACATTCACCACACACAAGAAATAGCTAAAAATGCTGCAGTAGAACAAACTCAGAAATAGGAGAAAAATTGTCAGGCCAAATGTTAAAAGCTCACCCTCTTCTGTTTTTCTTTTTGATGTAAGCACCTGCTTCTAGGATATGCTTTCGAGAGGAAATAATTCCCTTCTGCAATGTTGGTTCTAGATGACTGAATGTTTCCATTTAGGCTGTACCAAAAGACGTTTTCTATTAGCTCTACCTTTAAGAACCTAATTTTGGCACACCCAGAAAAATAACAGAAACATGCAATAAAAATAATTCAAGGAATCAACAGTTAGATTAATTCTGGAATGGAACTAGACTATGTGGTATTGAATAACTATTTGGTACACTTCAAAAATACCTAGAAATAAATGGAAAAATCAAGGGATCATTTCTGAAAAACAAAAGAAAGAGCAAACAAATAAGGGCTTTATAACTACTTAAACTAGATCTGTCTCAAATTGATTCTATAATTTGGTTCCGTGACAAATCAATGTTTGATAAATATTTATAAGGATAAATGCAGAAAGATTATATTAATAGTAACAAGTATGCCCATGTTTCTCTTACCAATTATATGAGTTTTCAAAACATTTTTATTTGCAATAATTTAAAAAATATTTTTCATGACTTATTTGCCTTTTACTTTTTTTTGAGACAGAGTCTCACTCTGTTGCCCAGGCTGGAGTGCAGTGGAGGAATCTTGGCTCACTGCAACATCTGCCTCCTGGGTTCAAGTGATTCTCGTGCCTCAGCCTCCCAAGTAGCTGAGATTATAGGAGTGTGCCACTGCACCCAGCTAGCTTTTGTATTTTTAGTAGAGACAGGGTTTCACCATGTTAGCCAGGCTGATCTCGAACTACTGACCTCATGTGATCTGCATGCCTGGGCCTCCCAAAGTGCTGGGATTACAGGCATGAGCTACCACACCTGGCTTGCCTTTTACTTGTATTTATGATGTATTTGATGCCCAGGAGTTTCTAATTTTTATGTAGTAAAATTTATCACATTCCTCTTTTGTGGGTCCTTCCTCCTCCCATCCCATTATATATACTGCTGAAATGTTTTTCTCTATCCAAAAGTGCACAATTCAAATTGTATCTTTTTATATTTAGACTTATGTATACTTTTGAAAAATTCTAATAGGCTTACTTTAGATTTAGAATTTTTAAAAACTTAATTGAGGCTATATTGTTGAGAAATTTAACTTTTTAAATTTTCACAAATGCTGTTAAGATTAGAACTTGAATATGGCTGGGCGCAGTGGCTCACGCCTGGAATCCCAGCACTTTGGGAGGCTGAGGTGGGCAGATCACGAGGTCAGGAGATGGAGACAATCCTGGCTAACACGATGAAACCCCGTCTCCACTAAAAATACAAAAAATTAGCTGGGTGTGGTGGCGGGGGCCTGTAGTCCCAGCTATTCGGGAGGCTGAGGCAGGAGAATGGCGTGAACCGGGGAGGCAGAACTTGCAATGAGCTGAGATCGCGCCACTGCACTCCAGCCTAGGCGACAGAGAGAGACTCTGTCTCAAAAAAAAAAAAAAAAAAGATTAGAACTTGAATATGTTTTTATATACTCCCCTGCTTTCCTATCCATGATTGATTTTTAAAAATAATTTGGATTTTAGAACTTGCCTGTTATTATTCAATTGCTAATATTGTAGCTAAGGTGTATAATGTATACACCTTCTCATTTAATGAATGTATTTTAGCAGTTGAGTTTAATTCTGTTGATGTGCATTGCACTGATTTTGACAACTCATTATGTACTGGGTTTCAAGTGCTTCCTGCAAGTCTGTTTACAACTCCAATTTCTTTTCACTTAATTTTTTACTTATGAATTATATTTCAATAAGGAGAACTATAGCTTAGAATATATTTTTGCAGAAATATACATGCATGACATATTTGATAATATTACAAGAGAAGTTCATTTATTTGCCATTACATATAAATTGTCACTTGGACCTTTATAGAATGTTTAGTGTGATAAACATTTTCTAAATAGAAAGAGTGGAAGTCAAATTCTCTCTCTCTCTCCAGATGAAATAATTGCCTGCCTGGAAAACTCCACAGTATCTGTCCAAACGCTCTTAGAACTAATAAACAACTTCAGCAAAGTTTCAGGTTACGAAAGATTTTTGTTGGTGGTGGTTTTTATTGTTCTTTTGTTCTTTTTTGTTTTTGTCTTTTATCTTTTTGTTTAATTTTTTTTGTAGGATACAAAATCAGTGTATGTATTAGTATGTTTTCATACTGCTATGAAGAACTACCCCAAACTGGGTAATTTATAAAAGAAAGTGGTTTAATTGAGTCACAGTTCCACATGGCTGGGGAGGCCTCAGGAAACTTACAATCATGGTGGAAGGCAAAGGGAAAGCATGGCACCTTCTTTACAAAGTGGCAGGAAGAAGTGCCAAGCAAAAGGGGAAGAGCCCCTTATAAAACCATCAGATCTCATGAGAATTCACTCACTATCATGAGAACAGAATGGGGGAAACTGCAACCATGATTCAATCACCTCCACCTGGTCTCTCCCTTGACACCTAGTGATTATGGGGATTACTATTCAAGATGACATTTGGGTAGGGATACAAAGCCTAACTATATCAATGTATAAAAATCATCAGCATTTCTACACACCAATAATGTCCAAGCTGACAGCCAAATCAATAACAAAATTCCACTCACAATACTCACAAAAAGAATAAAATACCTAGGAATACATCTATCCAGAGAGGTGAAAGATCTCCACAAGGAGAATTACAAAACATTGCTTAAAGAAATCAGAGACAACATAAAGAAATGGAAAAACATTCCATGCTCATGGATAGGAAGAATCAATATTGTTAAAATAGCCATGTTACCCAAAGCATTTTACAGATTCAATGCTATTCCTGTCAAATTACCAGTGACATTTTCCACAGAATTACAAGCAGCTATTCTAAAATTCATATGGAACCAAAAAAGACACTGAATAGACATAGCAATCCTAAGCAAAAAGAACAAAGCTGCAGGCACCACACTACCTGACTTCAAACTATACTACAAGACTATGGTAAGAAAAACAGCATGGTACTGGTACAAAAACAGACACATAGACCAATGGAACAGCATAGAGAGCCCACAAATAAAGCCAAACACCTACAACCATATGATCTTGACCAAAGCTGTCAAAGACAAGCAATGGGGAAAGGACTTTCCATTTGATAAATGGTGTTGAGATAACTGGCTAGCCATATACAAGAGATAGAAATTGGATGCCTTCATTTACCACATGTAAAAATCAACTTAAGATGGATTGATGACTTAAATGTAAAACCTAAGATTATAAAAGCCTGAGAAGAAAATCTAGGAAGTGCCATTCTGGACATTGGCCGTGGCAAAGATTTAATGATGAAGACTCTAAAAGCAATCACACAAAAACAAAAAAATTGACAAGTGGGACCTAATTAAACAAAAGAGCTTCTGTATGAAAGGAAACTATCAACAGAATAAAAGAATCAACAGAATAAACAGAATCAACTATCAATAGAATAAACAGATAACCTACAGAATGGAAGAAAATATTTGCAAACTAAGCATCTGACAAAGGTCTCATATCCAGAATCTATAAGGAAATTAAATAATCAACAAGCAAAAAATAATCCCCTTAAAAAAGAACAGCCACTTCTCAAAAGAAGATACACACATAGCCAACAAGTATATGAAAAAATGTTCAACATCACTAATCACTGGAGAAATGCAAGTCAAAACCACACTGAGATACCACCTCTCACTATTAAAAAAATAACTTAAAAAAAAAAACAGATGCTGGTGAGGCTTTGGAGAAAAGAAAACACTTAGACTGCTGGTGAAAATGTATAAAACAGAACTACCATTTGACTCAGCAATCCCATTACTGGGTATATACACAAAGGAATATAAATCATTCTGTCATAAAGATACATGCACGTGTGTGTTCATCGCGGCACTATTCACAATAGCAAAGAGAGGGAATCAACCTACATGCCTATCAATGGTAGAGTATATAAAGAAAATGTGGTACAAATACACCATGGGATAATATGCATCCAGAAAAAAAAAAATGAAATTGCGTCCTTTGCAGCAACATGAATGGAGCTGGAGGCCATTTTCCTGAGCCAATGAATGCAGGAACAGAAAACCAAATACTGCATGTTTTCACTTATAAGTGGGAGCTAAACACTGAGTACACATGGACACAAAGAAGGGAACAACAGACACTCAGGACTGCTAGAGGGTGGATGATGGAAGGAGAGCGAGGATCAAAATGCTATCTATCTAGTACTATGCTCATTACCCAGGTGACAAAATAATCTGTACACCAAACCCCCACAATGCAAAATTTACCTATTAACAAATCTTCACATGTACCTCTTGAGCCTAAAATAAAAGTTGGAAAGAAAAAAAAATTACAGATGTGATTTTATTGATGTTACCACCTTCTGGTATTGTGTAAAGAAGACATTGAGATCTTCCTGTTCCATTAACAGAATCACTTTTGTTGCTTTGTTGTGTTAGATTTTGTTTGTTGTTTGCTCATTTTGCTGAGATATTTGAAGATTAGATGAGAAAAGATTATTTTGCCAAGGTTGAGGACACACCCGTGACACAGCCTGAGGAAGTCCTGATGACCTGTGCTCAAGGTGGTTGGGGCACAGCTTGGTTTTATACATTTTAGGGAGACATGAGACATCAATCAATATGTGTAAGAAGTACATCGGCTCCGTCTGGAAAGGCGGGACAACTTGAAGTAAAGGCAGGAAGACTTGAAGCAGGAGGGAGCTTTCAGGTCAGACAGGTGAAACTCAAACCACTGTGTTTTTTTGTTTCTCATTAGCCTTTCCAAAGGAGGCAATCAGATATGCATCTATCTCAGTGAGCAGAGGGGTGACTTTGAATAGAATTGGAGGCCGGTTTGCCTTAAGCAGTTTCCAGCTTGAGTTTTTTAGTGATTTGGGGGGCCCAAGATATTTTCCTTTCAAAGGGCATTTCAAAGGGGCATGTGAGATAAAGGATTGGAACTAAATATAATATGTTTCCCTAATTAAGATTATCCAGTGGATACAGTGAATCTGATGATATGTGAAAAAGAAAGAGAAAGAAGACGAATATAAATATCTGAGAAGGGAAGTAGGCTTGGGATTTAGAACACAAATGGAAAAACTGATTTTTTTTCTTTTTCTGTTTTTGAGATGGAGTCTCTCTCTGTCACCCAGGCTGGAGTGCGGTGGCACGATCTCAGCTCACTGCAACCTCTGCCTCCTGGATTCAAGCGATTCTCCTGCCTCAGCCTCCCAAGTAGCTGGGATTACAGTCTCGCGCCACCAGGCCCAGCTAATTTTTGTATTTTCAGTAGAGACAGGGATTCACCATGTTGGCCAGGATGGTCTTGATCTCTTGACCTCGTGATCTGCCGACCTCGGCCTCCCAAAGTGCTGGCATTACAGGCATGAGCGACTGCACCCACACGAAAAATTGATATTTCATAGCAAGAGGGCACCCTCCGTTGTAATAGGACCGAAGAAGGAGAAGAGGGAAAATGCCGCTGGTGGGCAGGTTTAGAGGAGGGAAAATTAAAAGGCTTCTGATGTCTTCTGTTTTTCTCAACTAAATTTGAATCTTGGTTATTAGTCAGGAAAGGATGGAGAAGGAAGTGATATAGACTTAAGCCAAAATAAAGTGTGAAATTATTAGTTTTTGAAAATTAGAAAATCCTATTAGAGAAACAGAAGAATTGTTTGAAGTCATACATTTAAATTTAAAGAAGTCCACTTAGTTCTGTTTCTACGTAAATATAAGTATGCATATAAATGTATATATTTTATTTCATCATGAACATGATGTGGATGTAATTATTGTCAATTTAAAAACAATCATATTTGGCCCTGATTACATGTTTCATCAGTGTCAGAATACTACATTCAGTACAACGAAAAATGTGAATCAGACTAAGAGACTTCTAAAAATAATCCCAGCATTATTTGAGGTTTCCCATTCTGATTTATTTGTGTGGTTTCAGGATTTATCAGATAGCCTGTCACCTAGCAGACATCTTAAATGTCACAAATTCTTTTTAATAGAATCCAGTTATATATACCTTCCACAGGACAGAAGCCATACCATTTACCTGTATATTTCATAAATAATGAAAAGTTAGTGGGTGTATGTAAAATTCTAGGATTGAATTTCTGACTAACTTGAATATCACATTAACAGAATACATATTTTCAAACCTCTGGATTATAGTAAAAGTTGACTTTACTTGATTACTATTTGTTTTCATAAGAATTACTTCTACCCTGAGTCTAAAAAAATTAGAAATTAACATAACAATACCATCGCCAAATTAACATTTTTTCCTAGAAGGTATGATTCTTTTCAAAATATTAGAAACTTAAAGCATAATATATTTCACAAAAATATCCATAAATAAATGGAATAATTAAATGTTCTTTTTAAAAAAATAATGGAATGCATTTAGGTAGGTTTAAAAATTACAAAATACAAATCCTGTGCCAAAGTCTGGAATGCTGTAGACTGGTTCACATGAACATGTTAGAATTGCAGGGTTTTTTAAATCAATACTTCTAAGCATGTAGATACTTGTACAGAAGTATGATGTCATACAGAAATGTACCATGATATTTACAACTGACAAAACATACAGAAAATACATTAAAATAATTTTATTAAAAACTATATTTTAAGATCTTATGAAAACTGTAACTTTATTGACTGCATCACCCCTAGTAAGTCTAAATTTGAAATTACAGCATCTTTAACATTTCTGGAAACAGATGGCATTATTCATTGTTGTGTAGCATTTTACTTCAAGATGGTCACTTGTTACCCTAAGATCTGAGGTGAAGTGACAAAAACGTAAATTTTCTACAAGAAAATCTCTTAACAGAGATTTATTTCCTTCTTAGTGGCTTTCATTTCATTTTAAATCCAGACTAAATTCTGCAGATCAGCCACTTCCACCTATCTTACTATATGAAGATGTTATATTAGAAAAACTTTAGACAAATTAAATTTAACAGAGTTTATTTGAGCAAAGAACAATTCACAAATAAGGTAACACTCAGAACCAGAAGCAGTTTAGAAAGCTTTATTTATTTATTTTTTTTTTTGGCATTGTGGCCAGTGAGTACTTGTAGACAGAAAATAGAAGTAAAGTAGTAAAGTATTATACGATAGTTTGATTGCTTATTGATCAGTTGGCACAGTTGGCAGCATGTGACTGGCTGAAGCTTGGCTGCTTTTGATTGGCTGAGACCCAAATATACATTACAAAGAATACACTAAATTAAGTTTTGGTTTCATTCCATGCTAGGTTAGGTTGCAGTTCTTTGGGTAGGAACTCAAAATATAGAGATAGCCTCAAGCCAATGGTCTCCTACTTATTTAACAGTTCTGATTATTTAATGTCCTTTAAAAAACATCTAACATTGTCCTGTCCTATGGAGGCTTGGAGTTTTGCATCTTTATTTTAACTTTCAGTGACTTCAAAGTGAACTTTTAACTCAGTCTTGTTAAATTGGATACTTTTGTGAAAAAGATCCCAAAGGTTAAGAGAAAATAACCCAAATGTAAACATGCATAAAATGTCTTTAATGTATTTTCCTGCATATTCTAATATAGTGACTTGGTAGATATGCTTGCTAAGAACTTCCTTATTTCAAAGATTTGAAAGATTGATTTTAAAAGCAATGAAAGGCAGAGACCAGCAGGCTGTGTGGTTCAAGACCTCTACAAGGTGGTAAGCTGTTCTAACTGCAGAAAAATTGAATATCTGGACAAAAAGCTTTCCAGCACTTTCACTGGCATGATTTCATAGCCTCCATCTCTTTAAAAATAAAAAAAAAAAAACTCTTAAGAACTCGATTCTGACTTTTAATATTAACCTGCATTTTTTTCCACTTCTGCAATTTCAAGGTGAAAATGGATTTAAAATTTCATTCTTAGAATCAACACTGGTAGACTTCCACTCTGATTAACTATAACAGAGACAGAATGCACAAAAGAGATTGAAAACCTTTAGACTCTAGAGTTTTTAAGGATGTTTTAAAGCTATACGAGTACTTTATTTACTAAGCGATTTCTATTATTCACTCTTGCTACCTTTGGCGAAGTGGAAAATTCTTACATAATAATAAAAAAATCACTATACAACAGAATCTTTGCCTCTCAGACAAGTATTCCACATATTTTGCACTATATGATTAAGACTTTTGATATTGGTCATGATTGTCCCTTTTGTAATGACTTATTTTAGATGATTTTTTTCCTCAAAATTATGGAGAAAACTCATAAAATTTGCTGGACAACAAATTACTGTGTGATATTTAATTCATTTGAAAGAGACACTATTTTTTACAGGGAGTTTAGTTTATGATTTATTGGTTCTATCTGTACATATAAAGCAAAATTTTCATACAGTTTATACACCAAAACATTAACAAATTACTCTAGATGGCTGGAGTGAAGTATTAAAAGTAGCAGATGTTCTGTAGATTACAAAGCATTGGTGTTTACGTTCTATTTGAATGATCCCTTGTGCCAAAAATGCTTCATTGTGTTTTGTTGCCAAGTGACTTTTCCTGGAAACTCAGTCCTCCTTGTTTTCCATGATATCAATCTTCTATGTTTCCAGCTGATCTTTCTCAATCTCCTTCTTGAGCACCTCCTCTTCTATCTATGCCTTAAAGATGGCTGAGCATACAGGCTGCATGTAAGGACCTTGATATGGTTTGGATCTGTGTCCCTGACCAAATCTCATGTCAATTTGTAATCTCCAATGCTAAAAGTGGAATCTGGTGGGAGGACATTGGATCATGGGTGCAGTTTCTCATGGTTTAACACCTTCCCCCTGTGGTGCTATCATTGTGGTAATGAGTTCTCATAAGTACTGGTTGTTTAAAAGTGTGTACCATCTCTCTGCTCTGTCTCTCTTGCTCCTGTTCCGGTCATGTAAGACATGACTGCTTCTCCTTCACCTTCTGCCATGTTTCCTGAGGCCTCCCTAGAAGCCAAGCAGATGCCATCATTGTGCTTCCTTTACAGCCTGTGGAACTGTGAGCCAATTAAACATCTTTTCTTTATAAATTACACAGTCTCAGGTATTTCTTTACACCAATGCGAGAACAAACTAATACAGAAAATTGGTATCAAGGAGAGGGGCATTGCTATAAAGACACCTGAAAATGTGGAAGCAGCTTTGGAACTGGATAATAGACAGAGTTTGAAAGGGTATGAAGCACTCAGAAGAGGACAGGAAGATGAGGGAAATTTTAGAACTTCTTAGAGACTTGTTTAATTATTGTGACCAAAATGCTGATAGTGATATGGACAATGAAGTCCAGTCTGAGGAGGTCTCAAATGGAAATAAGAAACTTATTAGGAGCTGGAACATTCACTTTTGTTATATTTTAACAAAGAGGCTGGGTGCATTGTGGCCCTGCTTTAGGGACCTGTGGAACTTTGAACTTGAGAGAGATAATTTAGGATATCTGTTGGAAGAAATTTTGAAGCAGCAGAGCATTGAAGATGTGGCCTGGCTTTTTCTAACAACCTATGCTCATATGGGTGAGCAACGAAATGACCTGAAACTGGAACTTATATTTAAAAGGAAAGCAGAGAATGAAAGTTTAGAAAATTTGCAGCCTGGCCATGTGCTAGAAAAGAAAAGCCCATTTTCAGAGGAGGAATTCAAGCAGGTTGCAGAAATTTGCAAAAGTAAAGAGAAGCTAATTGTCAATAGCCAAGACAATGGGGAGAAGGCCTCAAAGGCATTTCAGAGACCATCCTGGCAGTCCCTCCCACCATAGGCATAAAGGCCTAGGAGGACAGAATGGTTTTGTGGGCCCTACTCAGGGCCCCACTGCCATTTTCAACCTTGGGACATTGCTCCATGCATACCATCTGCTCCAGTTCCAGCCATGGCTAAAATGGGTCCAGGCACAGCTGGGGCTGCTGCATCAGGGAGTGCAAGCCATAGGCCTTGGTGGCTTCCACATGGCATTAAGCCTTAGGGCGCACAGAGTGTAAGAGCTGAGGCTTGGTATCTTCTGCCTAGATTTCACAGGATATATGGAAAAGCCTGGATATCCAGGCATAAGCCTGCTCAGGGGTGGAGCCCACATGGAGAACTTCTACTAGAGTAGTGCAAAGGAGAAACATGGGGTTGGAGCCCCCACACAGAGTATCCACTGGGGCACTGTCCAGTGGAGCTGAGAGAAGAGGGCCACCAACCTCCAGACCTCAGAATGGTACATCCACTGGCAGCCTACACCCTGAGCCTGGAAAAGCCATAGGCACTCAATGTCAGTTCTTGAGAGCAGCCCTTGGGGATGAACCCTGAAAAGCCACAGGGGCAGAGCTACCCAAAACCCTGGGAGTCCAACCCTTGCGTCAGTATTCTCTGGATGTGGGAGATGGAGTCAAAGGGGGTTGTTTTGGAGCTTTAAAATTTAATGACTGCCTGTTGGGTTTTGGACTTGCGTGGGGCCTGTAGCCCCTTTCTTTTAGCCAGTTTTTCCCTTTTGGAATCAGAGTATTCACCCAATACCCATACCTCTATTGTATCTTCAATCTAACTAACTTTTTTTTTTATTTTACAGGCTCATAGGTGCAAAGGATTGGCCGTGTCTCAGATGAGACTTTAGACTTTGGACACGTGAGTTAATACTTGAATGAGTTAAGACCTTGGGGGGACTGTTGGGAAGGCATGATTGTATTTTAAAATGTGAGAAGGACATGAGATTTGAGAGAGGTCAAGGGTGGAATAATATAGTTTGATGTGTATCCACACCCAATATCAATTTGTAATCCCCAGTGCTGGAGTGGCACCTGGTGGGAGGTCATTGGATAATGGATGTGGTTTCTTGTGGTTTAATGCCATCTCCCTTTGGTGCTGTCATCATGATAGTGAGTTCTCGTGAGATCTGATTGTTTAAAAGTGTGTAGCATCTCTCCCCATCCTTTGCTCCTGCTCTGGCCATGTAAGATATGCCTGCTCCCCTTTACCTTCCATCATGATTGTAAGTTTCCTGAGGCCTCTCCTGAAGTCAAGCAGATTGCCAGCATTGTGCGTCCTATACAGCCTGTGGAACCATGAGCTAATTAAACCTCTTTTCTTTATAAGTTACCCATCTCAGGTATTTCTTTATAGCAGTGCAAGAAGAGACCTCTTCTGTTCTCACTTCCATATTTATTTTATGTGATGTTACTTATCACCTACACGCTAGAGATTCCCAAACTTTCATTTTCGGTTTGAGCCTGTCTCTCAAGCCCTCAGTGTGTATAACTGTAGTAGACAGCCTATCTGACAATTCTATGTATTTGTTCCATAAGTTTCTAAGTTCTCCAGAAAGCTCCTCCTTTCTCCCTCCTGTGATTTTCACCATAATGGGAGGCATCTTTGTCCATCAAGTTGTCATAATATGCAACCTCAAAATCAGCATTGTCCCTTTCTGTGCCCATACTTCCCGGATATAATTACTCACTAAGTCCTATTGATTCTGTGTGTTTAATATTTCATAAATCTTTCCACTGTTGTCCTCCCATGTTGCCACTGTCTTGGTTTACACACTGACTTCTGTCACCAGAGATAATGTAACTTCCTTCTCCCTGGTGCCTCTGCTCTAGTCCTGTTTCCACTTAGGCAGTCTTTCTCATAAAGGACACAAGGATTTCAGAAATGTTGAAAGTCAGACTGGATGGATGGAAGCTTGCTAGTGAAAGGAGAGAGAATATCAAGAATGCTCACCTCTCAAAAATGTGTCTTAGGAAACTGTCTTTGAAAAGATGAGATGAAGAAGAATGGGATCTTTTAATCGCAGATGTATTAAAATAAAGATAGCCACAGGAAAAGTAATTGACTCTCATTCTTCAATCATGTGTACATTTATTGTTGGTCTTGCTCCCCAGATACAGGACGAATGAGATCATTTTAAGTTCCACTTTCTCCAAGAGAAGGATTATCTATTTTTAATTTCTCCAACTCTCACAACCATTAATCCTGAGCTACTTATATTTATTTGTTTTTTAAACTTATTTTTAAACATGACTGTCTTTCTGCAATCAATACTCTCACATGAAATAAACTGAGATTGGATCAGAGAATGTGTAACATGCTCAGTAATCAGTCTACACATGTCTCTATCTATACATTACTAAGAATGCTTAACATATAAAATGTAATTATTTTACACAAAAAATTAAGTTATTTGTTTCACATGTAGGCATTTAAATGACTAGTAATTACATCCCTCTAAATAGTACAGTGTTTGAATACAGACTAAGAGTCAAGATGTGAAAATAGCCTCCACCAAATATGAGAATGGTATTCACTAAAATGAAATTTTAGTTGTACTTTAAACCTATAGTGTCTTCAATGATATTTATTAAAAATTCTCTAGACCCCAAATGGACAAAGGAGAACAGAAGGAACATTTGTTAAAAGTTTCTATTTGTCTATTAATTTGTACAGAAATAATTTGTACAGAAAGATATTGATACAGAGATAACCATGATTTTTGTTTTAAAAGGGCTCATAGCCTATTTAAAAAGATAGGCTCTAAGCAAACAAGTACAATATAACAAGGTCTAACAAAGGAATCCACAAAGTACTTATAACAAAAGAAACAATTACCTCCCTTTTGGGAAAATTGGAGACTGGACAGAAGTGTCAAATTTAACATGTCACCAATCAGTGAGGACTGTCACAAGTAAGTAAGAAATATTTCATAACAACAGGTTGGACTAGTGTCAGTTTGTTCCAGAATCACTTGGCAGCTCAGTACTCAGATTTCCTTTTATTCCGAAAAGTTTCTGGAGACACACGACTTGGCACCATTCTTCAGCCAGATTCTATGTCCCACATCTGACTCATGACTCTTCAACTTGACCTGCATACTTGGGCTCTCTTGTTTGCTTCAGGAAATGGGGAGAGTCGGAGAGTAAGGGACCTACTGGGATTAAATCCCTGGTCAGAATCCCCAGCAAGATCAAAGGCTAACTGTAGGAATCACCCTGTGCAAAAATGGACCCAAAAACTACTGTCTAACTTACCTTTAAATCTTGCTAATAAGAAGTGTCAGAGAGGCAAATAAAATACTATTGTATGAAAGATGCCTTTAATATCCGGTAATTTCTATTGCTGAAATGGTTATTGTTATCTTTAGTTGCTAAGATATATTAGATGTTTTATTTGAATGCTACGCTAAAGTAAAAACTGTGTACACTATTGGGTTTTGTATGTTTAATGAGGAAGTTACCAACAATCTGAGGATTCTGCATATTTAATAATAAATGTTTGAAAAGTTTTAAGGATATCAAACAATGTATCTTCAATAATAATGAGGGGTACAATTCTGCCCTTTAATATTGTAGATTATTGTTTATGTTTGCCAATTTGGGTCCCAAAATAGCCATTACTATCTCTACAAACATGATTTCATGCTATACTGTATATAAACTTAAATGTATATCCTATGTGTATGTATGAGGTTTTTTCTGGATACAGTAAATTACTTTCAACTAAAATTTGCTGTATTTTATTATGTTCTATGTTATCTAATAGATATAATAACATAGTTCTCAAATGTACATTTAAAAAATTATTTCCAAATCTCTGTATATCATTTATTCAAAATTTAGAGCATATTTCTACAAATAAATGTCATTTATTTCAGTTTGCTAATATATTAAATTTGACAGGGAAGAAAATATAGATGATACAAAATTTGTGAAATTAATATGAATTAGAATAATATCTTACCACATAAAATCATATACATTATCCTTATCACTCTTTTAAGTTTTCTTTGTTTCTCTTAAAATTATATTCTTTCCTCATGTTTGAAATTAAAAAATGACATTTATTTTTATTTAAATGTTGTCTATCAAGATCCAGAAAATGTCAGTGAAACTAATTAACTATAGATCCAAACCCACTTTGAACCACGTATATATGCTGAATTAATTTTTCAAACATTCAGAATGATAAGCTTTACAATATTTTTTTCTCTGGACTAGTTTTATACACATGAAGGCTGAGTAGTTCATCAAGGATTTACGCTTTATGGTCAGGAGTTGAGAACTAACACTATCAGTAAATATGTGGAATTGGTAAATTCCTTAATAGTTCTGAGGCAAGTTTTATTTAGATAAGCATAAATGCTTTACTAGATTGTTGTTTGAAATGAGATTGAAAAGTAACTAAGTAAGCTATAAAACCTTAACAAATGTTTTTTGTACTATCATGGGCTCCAGCCTCAACAAATAGATCGCATTTAGCTACCCGAGATAACATTTTCCAAAATGGTCCAGTGACACTTCGGAAAAAAATCAACAAAATTTATGGTTATATAGGTTCAGAAAATGCCACTTAAAAGAGTTATATATTACATCACATTACAGGCCCTAAGGTGAGCTGCAGTAAAGGAAACTACTATTGTTTAATAGAGACTTTCTGAACTTACTTGATCTAGAAATCTTTATTCACATAATACTTCTCATATTCATTTTAACTTGAACATAAACAAGAGGAAATTAAATATTTGAAGGTAATTGTCATTTATAAAATTAAAATGATAGTTTATGTCAATATATAAAACACCTAGATTTGTATAAAGATTTGACTTTTAAATTTACGTAAGTGTAACTTAAAAGACCCAAGAAACACACATGGAGAATGTGCACTTAGCAACCTATTCTATACCTAGAAGTTGTGGATATTTATTTATTACGAAAGGAGCAGAGTAAAGAGGAACCAATTATGAAAAGCCTGTAGACGGGGTAAGCCATAGAGAATGTGTTTCCAGAGAAGGTAGTTAAATGATTAGTCAAGTTGGATGGAAAGAGAATTTCAGTATAATCAAATCATATATGATGATACTGAGGAGGTTAGTAAGTCTCCTGTGTGGGTGGCAGCAAGCAAATTAACTTGAAGATATAGAATCTCAGGCTGGGAATAATGAGAAAAAGCTCAGAAAGACTGAATAGAAATACAATCTTAGGGGTTAGACCAGCTCAGGAAACTGATTTTTTTTGTGGAATTTAAATATCAAAACATCAACACACGTTTACTCAGCGAGTCACTAGTGTTCACAAGTCATCATAAGTTATCCTTTACTTTAAATACTAATTATTCCTGTCTAGACATTCACCGAGTTATGTGTATGGTTTTAGCAGAACTTAATAAATATTTTGAGTCTGGTCCTGTGCATGAAACAGAACGCCTTTGTGTGGTTTCCCAGCCAGCTAAGTGAGAGTGACATGAAAAACATGCAGAGGTGTTTTTAACAAGAGTTATCCCTGTACACTCACCTTCCTGTAAACACTGAGCTTCCCTTTATGAATCCACCTGCTCTCTCCTCAAGCCTTATTTCTAGGAATACTGCCAAGCTTTCTATTTTTGAATATGACAATAGAATACTAAGGAGCAAATTTCATGTAACCTCATTTAACAAAATACATCTTATACCAAGGTAAGACTTCAGAAAGATAATTACTAAAATATTCAAATATCTATATTTTAGCTTATTTCAAGGTATGATATGATCTAATTTATTATTTTTGTAATATACATAAATGATGTATATTTATTGATAAATCTTCATGATATGATATAATTTATTATTTTTGTGATGTACATAAATGATGAGTTTTGAGGAAATTTGGATGAGGCTGTGGTAAGGCTTAAATTTGAATCATTGGGGAAGAAGGATTTGTAAACAAAGTAGTATGAACAAGAAAAACAAAGAAAAATAGTTTCATCTAAAATGAGATATTTTAACACATTAAAAATACATTCACTATTACTATTCATAAACCAAAATATGCTTTTTAAAATAACTTTTCTGGAAAGGCAGAATATGATGGAACCTGCATTTGGCACTCTATACTGGCTTGTGAATCCTGTTCCCATAAGTACTGGCAATAATAAAAATACATTTATATGGTATATTTCATAGTCTTTCATTTTTTTCCAATTTTAATACATCTTCTGTCAATTATCTGAATTAATTAGGTGAGACATCTTTTCAGTGTTTTCAATGCAAGTTGTACAAAGAATTCCATATGAATTTAAAGAGTTGCTGTAATAGCAAAAATAGATGTGAAAGTCCACGTTGTTTTTAGTCAGTTATATTCTCCAGAAAGCTAAGCTGAATTCCTGCGTGAGCAGCCATTAGATAGCAAGGATCTATAGTTATTCTTGGCAAGCCCAATAGACATGGCAGGTCCAAACCTGTGAAATTAGCTTCTTTAATGGCATTTCTCGAATCTAAAAAAAGTAAAACAGTTTTTGAACTGCTTTGACAATAATGGTGCTATTGAGGTAGTGTTTATATAGCCAGGGCCTGGTTCCATGGACCACAATAACCAATCTGTACCCAAGATTTGGTCCTCAATATGAGCTGGAACAAGCCAGTGACTATGTTCTTGCCACATTGCAGAGTGCCAATATATTTATTTACCACTTTTTTTCCATAAATGATTTAAATTAGCTTACAAATCACAAATAGTGAGTCAAGATGAAGGGAGAATATGGGTAAAACATCAAAGTCATTGTGACAAATGCACACAGACATGCATGTTGGAGAATCCTATGCAGTGGCTAGAGGTGGACCTCAATTTTGGCTTTAAGTTGCCTAATAGCAAGTGAGTGAAAGAAAGGGAGATAACGAGACAAAGAGAGAAACACACAGTGAGAGAGAGAGAAGGGAAAGAATAAAATATGCTGAATTATTTAATCAGTTTCCATAAAAATTAAAATCAGGCAGTTATTCAGAATGTAGGGTTATTTTTCTGAGACCTGAACTGGATGACATGAAATGTGGGGTAGCAGACAATGTCCTTGGCAGCATCCTAAATTACAGGAAATACTGAATTTTACATAATGCTCATAGCATTTCTCAATGAAGCCATTGGTTAATGAGGAAGGCAATTCTGCAACAGTTTACACACTTAACTTGATTTCAGTCAGCACACTGCATAGAAACTGACTTCACTGAAGTCTCATTTTATTTTCTTGAAGTCTCTTTTCTTAGAATGAAAGTCTAAGAGATTATTTTTGCAATTGGCTATTCCTTCAATACATGGTGAATCAGAATCTCTTGTTAAAATACAATTAGTATGAAAAAATATTGAAAATAGATAGTGAAGGTCAGTATGCATTCTTTATCCCTGGGAGTAGTATAAAGCATATAGTATAAACCATGATTTCTGTTAATTGGTTTACTTTAATTAATCTGTATTTCTCACAGTGGTTTTTCATCTCATTTTCATTATTTTACCTGCATTTCAGAATTTAATGAAGAACTGAGAAATGTTAAAGATGCCTTCCAAATGATGATGCTCCATGCTCATTTTCAGCTGTATTTTACAGAGAGCCTTTTCTGATGCTCAAACTACAGCATTTGGTGTATTTCCCACATTAAGCAGTGTCTCATCCGTTTCCATCTGTGGAATGGGAGGAAATGTGGCTTCTGAGGTATTTCTCTTTAATCACCTGAAAGCTTTTAAAAGATGATTAATTACTTTGGGAGGCCAAGAGGGGCGGATCACGAGGTCAGGAGATCGAGACCAGCCTGGCTAACACGGTGAAACCCCATCTCTACTAAAAATACAAAAAATTAGCCGGGCGTGGTGGCGGGCGCCTGTAGTCCCAGCTACTTGGGAGGCTGAGGCAGAAGAATGGCGTGAACCCCGGGAGGCAGAGCTTGCAGTGAGCCAAGATCGCGCCACTGCACTCCAGTCTGGGCGATAGAGACTCCAAAAAAAAAAAAAAAAAAAAAAAAAAAAAAAAAAAAAGGATGATTAATTATGTAGCACACAGATCTATAATCTTTAGCAGATAAAAATGGTTAAGAGCCAGTCCTCCTGCTATTGTTCATTTCACATGGATTACTTAAAAATAAATCTAACTTTCCTTGGTATTTGAATAATTATTTTCAAAGTCTTGGCTTGCCTTAAGTCATTTTTATCTACATAATAACTGCTAAGAACAAATCTTTCTGATATCTCTAAATAACATTTCTTCATAATCTGGATCAAACTAACTGCTAAAAGAATAAAATTAAGTAAATATCCTTGGCAGCAGATGATGTCAAGGGGTTTGAAAATGTGCTTTCTGGTAATTCTTGGGATTCAGAGATTTAGAAATAAATACCTCCGGGAAAAGAGTATACAAGAGATACCGCAATCACTGCCCTGCCTGCATGCCCTGCTGAGACATGAGCCTTTGCAGCCATATTACATCCTGTGACCCTGTGCCTCCTTTTCTTTTCACAGCTGATTGGTCCAGTGGTAACCACTTGACCCAAGCATAACCAATTTAATAAATTGAATAATGGCCTTTTGCCTCTAACTTATGACCTGTGGATTGACAGGAAGTATAGTTGAACAATCTTATTTAGTGGCTAGGTATCTGAACTGTGAAACATAAAACATAATAAGACTTTTGTTAGAGTGAAGAGAGATCTGAAACAAAACAGTTATGAGAGAGACAAGGAAGGGCTGAGGAAGCTAAAGTGAAACACCAGCCAAATTATAAGGAAGCAAATAATTCAAGTTACCAGGTAAAGGTGGTCAATAGAGTCAATAGCTATGTGGAGAAAGAGAGATGACATGAGAAACAGGAAAAGATTATATTGCTGATGCAGGCAGATTAATAAAATTTCCCCTTATGAATACATTGGTTCTTTATTATTTCATAGTTCTAGTTGCTTACACAGACATATTCTTACTATAAATCCTCAGTTACTTGAAGCTACTGGAGAAGATCTCTATGTTTTGGAACCCAAAGACCAGGCAACAGATATACAGGAATAAAGGAGCAAGACCCCAAAGCATATAATGAATACACAAATTCAGATGGGTATGAAAAATGTAAAAAATGGCATAAGTAGTCATTAGGAAGAATGTATAGGGAGTTCCAACCATGAGAAATAGGTGATAATGGAGAGTATAGTATAGGTTATACCTGGAATTGGAAGTTTTGAACAGATACTAATTCCAGCCACTGTGATGATACTCCTAGGATTGCAATGTCTTGCATAAGAAGTGGTAAAAGCAGGTTTGGATCCTTATATAGATTATAGGAACAATACTCATAACAGCAAACACAGCAAGAATCTATGGCTGGGGTCTGGGACACATAGAAGAGAGTTAAACTTCAAAATCCAGACTTGGTGGCCAGGTGAGGTGGCTCACGCCTGTAATCCCAGCACTTTGGGAGGCTGAGACAGGCAGATCACGAGGTCAGGAGATCGAGACCAGCCTGGCTAACATGGTGAAACCCTGTCTCTACTAAAAATACAAAAAATTAGCTGGGCGTGGTGGCAGGTGCCTGTAATCCCAGCTACTTGGGAGGCTGAGGCAGGAGAATGGCATGAACCCGGGAAGTGGAGCTTGCAGTGAGCCGAGATCGTGCCACTGCACTCCAGCCTGGGAGAGAGAGTGAGACTCTGTCTCAAAAAAAAAAAAAAAAAAAAAATCCAGACTTGGAAACAAAATGGGCATGCAATGATCAAAAGTGAGTTTCCAAGCATAGAGACTGAAAGAGGATATCAGGCTCAGGAAATTGGCCTCTGAAGTCCTGCTAATAGTATCCACATACTGGAAATTTCAAATGCGAGAGTGTGAGAGGTAAGTGATCAGCACTGAGATCCTATATCCAGGATTCACAAAGGTTGATTGAACTTAACTTCTGGATGAAGGCCTGGAGATAGTAGCTCTCCAAAGTGACCTGGGCTCTCAACAACTCTCATGGATTCCAGAGCAGGCTCCATAAAGGAGAGGACTTCAGCCTGCAAGCCATTGCTTGCTGTTTTGGGGAAGCCTTCCAGGCCTATGCTCTTTAAGCTAGCTGCATGCTTTCTCACTTTCCGTCTTTATTGTGAGGATCTTGGCTTTGCACATTGTTCATTTCTTTGAACTTGACTCTTCAATAGTCTTTTCTTTCCTAAACTTAGCCAGTCCCAGAGATATAGCCTCAGATCTGTCTTACTTGTGATTCACATTCCTTGCTCTCACCCCATAAAAGTCTAGTCATCCAAGTGTGTCCATTGCCAGACCTGCTATTGCTCATGAAAACTCAGCACTGGTCAGAGCCATTCTCTCCTAAGAAAGGAGGCAAAGAAACTTGCACTGGGAGCGGAGTGGGGTCCCGTCAATATAACTAAGACTTCAGCCAGAAGTGAAGTTAGCAATGGGAACTTGACTGTGGGAACAACATTAGAATGGCTCTTTAGGTTTCCAGCCAGGTAGATCTGGCGACCTGGACAAAGCAGACAGTAAGTAGGAAGACCAATGGCCAATCCAGTGGGGAGTTCTGCAACAGATGCTTGGGCAATGTTACAGGGTCTATTTAATTAATATTTCAAATTATAATTGCTCATGAATACAAAATCAAATGACACAAAAAATTTATCATTAAAATCAAGTGCACAGGTATGCATCCTTTTCCCTTTGTCCTAATATAAACTACAGCAATGATTACTGTCCATTGGGTGATTATAATGTTAAATTACACTGCTTGCAATAATTCAATAAAGTGATACTATACACTATGATCTTTTTCACAAATGTTGAAAGTGGGCAGCCAGTATCAACCAGCAAAGGTCAAATTTCAAAGCCCATGCAGGTAGCCACTCCTGTTTGTATTATTCATACGCACACAGGTGACTGACTGCACAGGCTCACACAAATGAAATTTAAGGTAAATGAATTTCTTTATCAGACATTAAATCAGTCACAAAAGACCACATTTTATTCAAAAATCAGAAAGATAAAACAATTCGATTTTAGTACATTGGCAATCAAGAAATAGAAAAATCTTTCATTGATTTTAGGGAAAATCACTTAAAAATTATCAAATGTATATACTTGCTAGTAATCTTAACATACAAGTATTGCAAAAAACAAATAAAGATAAGTTGTATTAAAACGAATAACAAAAGACTATCAAAGTTGAAATAAATAGGAGATGGAATAGGGTTTTGTGTTATCGTAGAACTGGCAATGAAATCCGTTTAAGCCTTGACTCTGCAGTGCTTTTGTACTACTTGTCATTCCTACTAAGGGTTGTGATGATATATTCTCGGTGAAGGAGTTAGCAACTGCAATTTGCGCTCAAACCTGGCTGTTCCATTAACTTTTATAATGAACCTGAAAACTGAGTGCTGGAGTATTATTAAAGCTGCTATTTTACAGGTGGTGGGAGAGAGGATCTTGAAGTGTCTTAAGGTCAGTTTTATCTTAGCTCTGCCTTCTTTTGCAAAACCATTGGGAGCCACTTATAACAACTGCTGAAAAAGCAAGGGCACTCTTCTTTCTTCATTGTGAGAAGCACTCACCCTTAGAAAGACATTCGAACCTGCAACTTTACAAAGTACACTTTGCTAATAAGCCTGCAGAAAACCACAGGATTTATGAAAACATAGATCAATGCCAACTACTTTATTACATGACATTGCCAATAGCAGACACCTGAAGTGAAGTTTTCTGTTTTTAGAACACTTTTCCCCTACATATTTGTATCTTTGGATGAGAGATTTCATACTAAGTAATCTCCCACAGTTATTGCTTCATATCTGAGCTCATAATTCATATGCTAACCACATCATTATAGTTGGTTATATTAAAGACCTCTTTAGCTCACCAAAGGAAAACATAAACTAATCTTTATTTTGAGAAATATAAAAGTTAATATTTATTCTTGATATTTTCTTATTCTCGTAAAATAAACTAGTGAATTACTCCACATTTTCCAGCATACTCAGCATTAAGGCTTTTCAAATGACCAGAGGATATTTTGAGTGCATATACTTATTCCTACTATGATTATTTTGTATTCTTTAAATAAAATACTGATAAGCTAATCTTTAGAGAGTATAGCAAATATTCATATGTTAATCATGTCATTACATGAAATCAAATACTTAGGTGTTTCTCATAACCCTGGAGCATTCTGTTTAAGCGCCCAAATCTCACTAACATTAAAGAAAGGACATGCCTGGAGATATTTACAATAACGTATTCAAAGGAAAATGCCTGTGTGTGTGTGTTTGTGTGTGTGTACATTTGTTCATATATGTGTGTATTTCAGAGAGTCAGTCCATCATTGTTTTTCAGCTATGTTTAGCAATTTCTTATGATTGTTCATGGTCTAACAACACTCAATGCATTCATATAAAATGACTTTTTAAATGTATCTGTGTAAGTGTTTATATCTATGTGTATGTGGGGTTTTTTTGCCTGTGCATAAAAAGTAGCACTTCAAAAATTAAGTACTTAATGCTGGCAGTCATTCAGACACAGGCCCCTTGCTCCTCAAGGGGCAGATAATGGTTTCAGGGCTCAATAAATGATGAAGTCTTTTAACCTTGTTTTGATTTGAAAACATTTTTCTCCCAATAGAATTGTACACATTGTATGCAACCTCATAGCTTCCTGCAGCTCCACATTATTCCAAGGTGAATGTAGTGAACTCATTTTAATATTGCATGCTTTGATGTACAAAATACTACTGAGATAATCTGAAACATCTTGCTGCTATTGAAATTCAGTAGGCTCCCAATACTATGTATTCAGTTCCAAAAGAATCTCTTCAGTGAGTCAATCAATTTTAAAGCAATCAGCCTATCTAAATCTTGAGTAACCTGAAAATCTAATGTATACAAAATGGTCACAATAGGGGCTCTGCTTCATATTTTGAAAATCCATTTTTGTTCTCACAAAAAAACATGTAAAAGAAGCATTTGGAAATAACAATTTAATATTAAGGATAAAATGCAATTAAATAAAATTAAATTATCAATTTATAATGAATGAATCATTGATATTTAAATATATCTAGAACAAAGGAAAATATACAATAAGGTTTAGTTAAGTGTTACAAATTATGTTACACAGAAGATAATTTTAACAGTGTGTTTCATGTTTATCACAGAATAAAATAAAATTAAAATACCAAAAAAGCCAATTTATATTTCTAACTATATTCTAAATTGACCTAGTAAGACCAAATAAAGAAAATTCTGTCAAAATAATGCTTGTGATTTTTTTCCAGAGATAAAAAAGAAACAGAAAATTTTTGGTTTAGTAATTACAATAATATACACAGACCTCTTAAGTTGTTTCATACAATTAAATTAATAATATAATTCTGGTAATAAAAGAATACAAGCTTTATATTTTTTAAGTTATACAATCATATCAGAATGACCAATTCATAACTTGAAAATTTAAACAAGTTCTAGTTTAAATTTTCATAGCAGTATGCATTATTTCATACAAAATCTGTGTCATATCTTGAAACATTATGAAACCTAAAGAAGTACACTGCAAGAGGAAAAAGGAAATTATAAATATGTACATTTTATAAAATCTTTAAATAACAATATATCCATTGTATTATAAAATATATGAATACTTTAGAGTGACAAAAAGTATGTCTTGTGTCAAAATATTAATAATAAAATCAATAAAATACTTTGATATTGAGATCATACTCTCAATTCAGCTTTAATTCTACATATTTAAAAAAATTAAATCTAAAACACACCATTAAATATTTTCCAAAAGCCTTATTATTGGCATTAGAATCCTGGTATAATATCTTATCAATATTAAAATATTAGATCTTTTTTCTTTTTCTTTTTCTTTTTGAGACTGGGTCTCGCTCTGTGGGCCCAGCTGTAGTGCAGTGGCGCAATCTCGACTCACTGCAATCTCCACCTCCCTGGTTCAAGCGATTCTCCTGCCTCAGCCTCCCTAGTAGCTGGGATTACAGGGGCATGCCACCACACCCCACTAATTTTTGTATTTTTAGTAGACATGGGGTTTCACCATATTGGCCGGGGTGGTCTTGAACTCCTGACCTCAAGTAATCTGCCCACCTCAGCCTCCCAAAGTGCTGAGATTACAGGTGTGAGCCACCACACCTGGCTAAAATATTAGATAATTCTGTTATCATCTTGGTTTTCTATTTTTGCTGTCATAAACATTATTTAATAGACATCCTTCAACGTATTTTCCCTATCTTTAATGTATTCCCATATTGATACATTAAAGTAGAATTATGAGATGAAAAGCCATGACTTTTTAGGATTTCAATTCAGATAGCCTAATTGCTTCTTAAAAAGTTGACAACCAAACAGTAAATGAGAGCAGTAAAGTCATGTTGGTGAGTATTATTATTAAAAGCAATTAAAATTTAAAAGGAAAATAGCCCATTATTGTTTATATTTATATTTATTTGAATATAAATACTATTTTTTTCATGTGTTTGCTGTTTGTCTTTCTTTTGACCCATTTTACTAGATGATTATTTATTTATTTATTTTTTTAAGTTCTGAGGTACATGTGCAGAACGTGCAGTTTTGTTACATAGGTATACATGTGCCATGGTGGTTTGCCACTCCCATCAATCTGTCACCTACCTTAGGTATTTCTCCTAATGCTATCCCTCCCCTAGCCCCCCACCCCCTGGCAGGACCCAGTGTGTGATGTTCCCCTCCCTATGTCCATGTGTTCTCATTGTTCAACTCCCACTTATGAGTAAGAACATGCGGTGTTTGGTTTTCTGTTGTTGTGATAGTTTGCTGAGAATGATGGTTTCCAGCTTCATCCATGTCTCTGCAAAGGCCATGAACACATCCTTTTTTATGGCTGCATAGTAGTCCATGGTGTATATGTGCCACATATTCTTCATCCGGTGTATCATTGATGGACATTTGGGTTGGTTCCAAGTCATTGCTATTGTGAATAGTGTTGCAAATAAACATACATATGCATGTGTCTTTATAGTAGAATGATTTATAATCCTATCAGAGTGAACAGGCAACCTACAGAATGGGAGAAAATATTTGCAATCTATCCATCTGACAAAGGGCTAATATTCAGAATCTACAAAGAGCTTAAACAAACTTACAAGAAAAAAAAACCTCATCAAAAAGTGGGCAAAGCATGTGAACAGACACTTCTCAAAAGAAGGCATTTATGCAGCCAACAAACATGTGAAAAAATGGTCATCATCACTGGTCATTAGAGAAATGCAAATCAAAACCACAATGAGATACCATCTCACGCCAATTAGAATGGTGATCATTAAAAAGTCAGGGATGCTGGAGAGGATGTAGAGAAATAACAATGTTTTTACACTGTTGGTGGGATTGCAAATTAGTTCAACCATTGTGGAAGACAGTGTGGCAATTCCTTAAGGATCTAGAACTAGAAATACCATTTGACCCAGCAATCCCCTTACTGGGTATATACCCAAAGATTATTTTTTAATTAAAATGATTTTATTCTATTTTTATTGACAAATTAAAATTATATTTATTATGTACAACATGTTGTTTTCAAATATTTATACATTGTGAAATGGCTGAATAAAGCTATTATCATTTTTTTTTCTGGTAAGAACATCTAAAAGCTATTTTCTTTGCAATTTTAAATACCATATATTGTTATTAACCATCGTCAATATTGTACAACAGATCTTTTGAACGTATTACTCCTATCTAATTGAAATTATGTATCCTTTGACTAACCTGCCCCAACTCTCCATGACCCACCCAGACCCTGGTAACTACCAATGTACTTCTATGAATTCAACTTTTTTATACTGCACATAAGTGCGTATAAGTGAGGTCATGTGATATTTGTCTTCCTCTTTCTGGCTTATTTCACTTAACATAACATCCTCCAAGTTCATCCATATTGCTCCAAATTACAGAATTTCCATATTTTTAAAGAAAGAATAGTATTTCATTGTGTATATTTACCACAATTTTCTTTATTCTTTCTTCTATTGATGGATACAGGTTGATTCCATACCTCGGCTATTGTGAATAATGCAGCAATGACTATGAGAGGGCAGATATCTCTTCTACATATTGATGGCACTTCTTTTGGATTTATACCCAGTAGTGGGATTGAGGGATCATATGGTAGTTCTATTTTTAATTTTTTGAAGAACATCCACACTGTTTTCTGTACTATTGCCACCAACAGTATGCAAAGATTCAGATTTTCTCCCCATTCTCTCTGATACTTATCCTGCATCTTATTGTTAGTAGCCATTCTAACGGGTGTGTGCTTAGATTCCACTCTGGTTGTAATTTGCATTTGTCTGTCGATTCAGGATTGTATGTGGTTTCATTTTAGATTTTAGATTTTTTTTCTATTTTTGGGAAGAATGTCATTGATATTTTCATAGAAATTGCACTGAATCGCTACATCACTGTGGGTAATACTGATATTTTAACAATAACAATCTTTTTTATTGTTCTTTTAGTCTCAAATTCATCTATTTATTTCCTAATCTTTATTTTGTTCCTTCTAGTAATTTGGAGTTTGGTTTATTCTTGCTTTTCTAGTTATTTGAAGTGCATCATTGGGTTATTTATTTAAAATATTTCTATTTTTTTGATGGAGGAGCTCATTACTACACATTCCTCTCTTTCTACAGCTTTGCTGTATACCATAGATTTTAGTATGTTGTGTTTCTACTTTCATTTGTTTTAAGAAAATTTTAAATTTTTTTCTTAATTTTTTCATTTACTCATTGATGTTTCAAGAGCATGTTGTTTAATTTCCATGTGTTTTTATATTTTCTGAAGTTCCACCGGTTACTTATTTCTAGTTTTATTCCATTGTTGTCAGAAAAGATACTTGATATAATTGCAAATTTTTTAATTTGTTGAAATTTGTTTTATAGCCTAACTTATTGTCTATCCTGTAGAGTGTTCTATATGCTGATGAGAAGAATGTATATTCTGCAGCAATTGGATGAAATGTTCTATAAATGTCAGTTAGGCTCATGTGGTCCAGGGCATGGTTTAATTTCAATATTTCTTCATTGATGTGTACATTATTGAGAGTGGAGTGCTGATGTCCTCTACTATTATTATTTTGAAGTTTATCTGTCCATTAGATCTATTAATGTTTGCTTTATATATTTTGTGCTCTGGTGTTATGTGCACATCTATTTAAAATTGTTATATCCTCCTGCTAAATTAGTCCCTTTATTTCAATATTGTGACTTTCTTTGTCTCTTTTTGCAGTCTTTGAATTGAAGTCTATTTCATCTAATATAAGTACCTATAATCCTGATTTTTTTTGTTTTACATTAGCATGGAATATCTATTTTCCATCATATCACTTTTAGTCTATGTGTGTCTTTTATAAATGAAGTGAGTCTTACTTTTATTTTTTTAATGTTTTTATTCATTCAGCTACTCTATGCATTCTAATTGGATAATTTAATCCATTTACATTCAATGTTATTATAAATAAGTAAAGACATTGTTTGCAATTTTGTTACTTGTTTTGTGGTTGTTCTTTAACTCCTCTTTTTCCTTCTTTATTTCTTACTGTCTTTCTCTGTGGTTAAGCAATTTTTCTTTGATAAGAAGTTTTAATTTGCTGCTTATTCGTTTTAATGTATCTATTATAGGATTTTGCTTTGTGATTACCATGAAGCTTCCTCCAAAAAATCTTATAACAAGTTATTTTAAACATGTTACAACTTAACTTTAATTGAAAGAAAATAAAGGAAAAGCTGAAACACTCCATGCTTTAATTCCTTCCCCCCCATTTTGCCTTTTTTGTCTCAATTTACATCTTTTTATATTTTTTATCTCTTTACAGGTTGCTCTTGTTATTCTTTTTTTATAGATTTGTATTTTAGTCTTCATACTAGAGTTACTCCACAATTACAGTATTAAAGTATTCTAAATTTGCCTGTGTACTTACTTTTACCATTGAGTTTTATAACTTCGAATGTTTTCTTTTTGCACATTTTCTTTCAAATTGAAGAACTTCCTGTAGCATTTCTTGTAAGACAGTTCTGGTAGTAATGAAACTCCTTAGTTTTTGTTTGTCTGGGAAACACTTTATCTCTCTTTTGTGTTTGAAGGAAAATTTGACTGAGTACACTTTTTTGGTTGATAGTTCTTTCTCTTCAGCACTTTGAACATGCTGTCTCACTCCCTTCTGTCCTGTGTGGTTTCTGCTGAGAAGTCTGTTGTCAAACAACTTGGAGTTCCTTTATGTGTTATTTGTTGCTTTTCTCTTGCTGTTTTTAGGATCCTTTCCCTGTCTTTTGACCTTTGAGAAATTGATTATTATATGTCTTATTTGGGTTGAATCTGCTTGATAATCCTTATCTTTCTTGTACCTGAATAATTATATCTTACTTTAGGTTTAGAAAGTTTTCTGTTATTTCTTTGAATAAACTTCTGACCTCTTGCTCTTTCTCAACTCCCCGTTGAATGCCAACGGCACTTAGGTTTGCTTTTTGGGGGTTATTCTTTACATCTCATAGGTGTTCTTCATTCCTTTTCATGATTTTTATTTTGTCTTTTGGTTTTGTATTTTCAAATACGGCTCACAGATTGGTTCGATTGGCTATGACGTTTACAAGGCCCTCAGGGAAGGCTGGTTTCCCCACGCTTATATTATTATGCAAATGAGCTTTCCAGTGGCTCAGCGTCAACCTGTCACACGTACATGTGTGTGACAAAAGAAGTGAAGATGGGGGCCGTCATCTTGAACACGTCTAGCCCCTAGTTCCTGCTGGCATTCACCCAGCTTGCCTGTCTATGTCTGCAGCTTGACTTAACAGGCTGCTCTTTGTTAGAAAATGAGTTGGGACTGCTTTCATTAAAAAAAAAAGCTTTATTGCTCACACACACACACACACACACGCGCGCACACACACACACACACACACACAAAAACCTTACAGAGGACTCCCATGCCCTTGCTAACTGCCTAAGTAATTCCGTCTCAACTCTTATTACATTATTCTCCACATGTAGTTTACATCTTATTTAATCTCAACAACCTAGTTTTCAAGATACAGATTTTATATGCATTTTCTGTTAAACTTATGCCTAAGTATTTTATGTTTATGTTTAAAGTCAATAATTATCCATATATATACACATATATAATGAATTATTTTGATCTAGCTTTTTTCAAAATTCTTTTTATCTTTGGATAGCCATTTTTAAATACTGTCTTCCATTCTACCTACTACTATGAAGTGTGAAAACCCAAATAGTTGCTTTACTAGGCTCCCTTGAAGAATATCTGCTGAAATTCTTCTGGAAAAAAAGTCGATTTCTTGTTAAAAGAAATAGATACCAAGGAGAAATGGCTAGGGTTATGTTAGAAATTGCAACCTCTTTTATACTCTTGAATACGTGAATAAGAACGTGATGCTTTAGATTTTGTATCTGTTTTAATTTGAGTTCTCCAAGAAATAGAAGTCAAGACAAGATTAGACACACAAGTGGCAGCAGATTGAGAATGAAGGAAGAGAGTGGAGTGGGGAGAAACTTCTAAACATGATGCAGATTTTACAGTTAAAAGGGAGAGAGAGAAGAAAAGAATGCATTAAGAGAACCCAGATCATAGTGAAGTCCTGTGAATGTGTCAGTTAGGCCAATGGGGAGTTACAGCAAAAGTTTCCCATTAGAGGAAACAGGTCTTGGCACATTCCAAAACTAGTACACTCATTGTGTTTGGTCATTGCCTGGCGGGAGGCACAGGGAACAATGGTCTCGGTCTATATGCCAAAGTGAACCCCAAACGTCAGCAGCTCTGATTCTCACAAAATATTTTCTTCTTCTTCTTTTGTTTTTGTTTTTGTTTTTGTTTTGGAGATGGATTCTGGCTCTTGTTGCCCAGGCTGGAGTGCAATGGCTTGATCTCGGCTCACTGCAACCTCCATCCCCTGGGCTCAAGCGATTCTCCTGCCTCAGCCTCCCAAGTAGCTGGGATTACAGGCACATGCCACCAAGCCTGGCTATTTTTCTTTTTTTGTATTTTAGTAGAGACAGGGTTTCACCGTGTTCCCCAAACTGGTCTTGAACTCCTGAGCTCAGGCAATCTACCCGCCTAGGCCTCCCAAAGTGCTAGGATTACAGGCGTGAGCCACCGCGTCCAGCCCAAAATATTTTCTTAAAGAAAGAAAAAACTACACAGAATACCTTCATGGTCACTAGAGTATTTTCTTTTTCAGGCTAATTTATGTTAGACACCCACATTCTCAAAATATTTACAAGCTAGGATGTTAGTTTATGAATTTGCAGATAGATATGTAAGTCTACTCCTTGAACCACACAGATTCATTTCATAACAGTTGTTTGAAAAACAGCTTTCCGTGGTTTCTATGTATCCCTTTTCCTGGGAGGAAACTTAGATAACATTAACTAAACTTGTGGGCTAAACTGCAGTCCCCATATATACCTTAGCTCTCAGGACTACCATTGGTAATCATCTTATTCATCTTCTATCACCTGATTTAAATTCTACTTATATTTACCACTTTGGCAGGTCTTGTAGGTTACCTGTTGGGTATGCCTAAACCTTCTTTCCTGAGGGTCTAAACCCTTGGTGATATGGTTTGGCTCTGTGTCTCCACCCAAATCTCATTTCGAATTGTGATACTCATGTGTCCAGGGAGGGACCTGGTAGGATGCGAATGGATCATGGGGGTGGCTTTCCCCATGCTATTTTCCAGATAGTGAGTGGGTTCTCATGAGATCTGATGGTTTTAAAGGTGATAGTCTCCCTTGTTCCCTCTCTTGCTCCCGTGTCAAGAATTGCCTGCTTCCTCTTCACCTTCCACCATGATTGTAAGTTTCCTGAGGCCTCCCAAGACATGCAGAACTGGGAGTCAATTAAACTTCTTTCTTTTATAAATTACCCTCTCTTAGGTAGTACCTTCATAGCAATGTGAGAACAGACTAATATACTTGGTAATCATAACCTTCTCAGTCAAGAAATTACCACACGTATCAACTCATAGCTATATTCAGACCAGAGCTTGCCAAGAGGCTTCCAGCATAACAAAATGCCACACAATTAGCAGCTTAAAACAACATACATGTGCTACCTTACAGTCTTCATGGGCCAGGGTTCTCTGCATGGCTCAACTGAATGTTTTGCTCAGAGTCTCATTTGGCTTCAATTAAGGTGTCAGCTATGGCTATGCCTTTTAATTGAAAGGATCAAGAGGGGGAATGATTCACTTTAAAACTTATTCAGATTTTTAAGAGAATTTGGTTCCATGCTGTCATAGAACTGAGACCCTCAGCTCCTAGAAGGCACCCTACCCATAGGCAGTCACCACATGACTGCTTCTTTCAGGCAGAAGGCAAATATCTCCTTTAAGGTTTTCAGCTAAATTAGGCCTTCCCCAGGATAATATCTTTTGATTCACTGATAGTCAATTGATTAGAGGCCTTAATTACTTCTGTAATATCCACTTTTGCTATATATGACATTACATCACATTCATAGAATTATACAGGGGAAGAGCCTCAGAATAATCTTAGAATTCTGCCTGCCATACCTGGGTTTCACATATATTCCTCCCTGCTCCTTTGTGTAAAAGCAGTCTCCTGTATGCCAACTGGGGTCAAATACAAGGGTCAATATGGTGACTCCTCTTCTTCCTTGCTGGTTCCTAAACCCAAAATTATAAAATGTACTTGCAGTAGTTATATCCTGTTCAATGGGATTTTTCTGTGTTCCCTGGTAAAATTTTCCAGATTTAAGGACCATGACCCCTAACCCTGCAAAGCCCAGATATGCAAGGATGAGAACAAATTCTCCTATGTATAACTGAATATAATAATAAAAGAGGTCACTCCTGTTTCCAGCCGTTTCTGGATCCATGTGTTTTTTTTATTGTGAACTCATCACTATGTGGAGATTTCTAGTTTAATGTGTATATTGAAAGCTGAAAGATGTCACCTCATCCTTATAAAATATTTTCTCCCAGTTAGCACGTTGACTGCATATCCTGAAATATTTTATAAGGATGAGGTGACATCCTTCAGGTTGCAATATGTACATTAAATTAGATGTCTTTCTAACTTAATGTACATAAAATTACATAGCCAACCTCACTTTCCTATTTTGCCTTTCCTATGTCATCTTCCAGGACAGTACAGGCATTTGCACTTCACTGAGTGTTGACTATAATTTTTCCATGCTTCTGTGAGCAGCAACCCTAGCAGCTAAGTTTTTTTGCCAGGGTGTTAAATTTAATGTCTGAGAAAGTACCCCCAGTCAATGCATTTTGTTTATCCAGTCTTATGCTTTAACACTTTGATCAAGCACCCTCAAATTGCAGTCTTGGGATACTCTTGTGACTCTTACTAGAATATTCTTATGGCTGTTTCAGGGTGTACTCTCTTTCCTGCCTTGTTAGATCCAGCAGTTCTCCAGCCAGGCTGTGCTGGGATTTAATCCTAGTTATTGACCTTGCCGTCAGGAAGGGAGATGGAAGGCAACTCTTGAGGGGACTCCTTTGCTTTCCAGAAGAGAGGCATATGGAGAATGAGGGCCATAGGGAATGCTAGCTCTTTCAATGGAAGGGCGAGTTAATTTTCCGAGCTTGAATGTTTGGGGGAGAGGATTCTGGAAAGCCAACATGCTTAGGACATTCTCCGGTGTTTCCCATCCCATATTTCCAGACTCTACATTTTACCTGGCATTGGCAATAATAGACCTGCCTGGGCTGAGCATTTAGACATCTTGGATCAAATCTTGACTATGCTCCTCAACTGACTGTTCTTCTACTGAATGTTTTTAAGCTGGAAAACTGTCTCCTTGGCTCTCTCACTCAAGCTTTAATTCTTTTTTCATGACTCTAGCTTGCTCATTATCCATCTTCAGGTCATCAGTATAATTTAGTAATAGCTAGCCAACCCTGTTGATGTTATAACACCATACCTCCACGTTTCTCAGAGGCCTGAATCTTCACACTGATGAGAATATCCCTATCAACTGGAACCTAGTTTTCCACTGATAATTTTCAGCAACTTAGCTGCCATTTGTGCCACACATTCCACGTGGAGTGGGATCATCCTTACCAGTGGGGTAGGGAGTGGGCTGGTCCTTAAGATCATTTTACTATCTATTTTCTTTTTCTTTTTCTCTCTCTTTTTTTTTTTTTTTTTTTTTTTTGAGACAGGGTCTCACTCTGTCGTCCAGGCTGGAGTGCAATGGTGCTGTCTTGGCTCACTGCCACCTCTGCCTCCTGGCCTCAAGTGGTCCTCCTACCTCAGCCTCCTGATTAGCTTGGACTACAGACATATGCCACCATACCCAGATAATTTTTGTATTATTTGTGGAGACAGGGTTTCACCATGTTTCCCAGGCTGGTCTTGAACTCAGACTCAAGACATCCACCCGCATCAGCCTCCCAAAGTGCTGGAATTACAGGCATGAGCCACTGCATCTGGCCACTTTTACTATTTTCTGTTACATTCCTAGTGCCATCTGTGTTAGTTTGAGTGTCCCAAGGAGTTAATGCCAAGACAGAATTAGACATACATGGGATCCATCAGGGGAAATGTCTGCGACAGATCAAGGTGAAGAAAGCAAGAATGCTCAAGAAGAGACTTCTCACTATGAAATGGGTCTGACAACTACAAAAGAGAGGGGGAAGGAAGAATTAAGTAGCAAAAGCTTCAGAATGCAGTGTTATTTTAGAAGGTGTCTGACTGACAGTCTCAGGCTGATGGGGTGCACCTGTGACAAATTTTCCCATTAGAATAATCTATCACTTGGAAGGAATGGCCTGAATCTAGTACCTCTGCGTTGCTCAGTCATGTGCTGGGAATAGCCTGAGGGAATCGTGGTCTCAATTTTCACACAATTGGGTCACCCAAGGGTACAGCAGCTGGAACTGTCAGTCAATTCTGCTCCCTGTAGCAGAATCTCTTGGATGAATTCCTCAGCAGTGCATCTCCATGGCTACCAAAGTTTTCATAGTGAGACTTAGAGATAACAGATATGCGTTCCATAAATCAACCTAGCAGCGATACTTAAGAGAAAACCTAGAAAAGCCTGAGAACTTAAAGACATTTTTTGGCTTGCTAGACTAAACACAAGACCACCTATTTCTGTATTTCTAGAAAAGTAAACAACGAATACTTCTATTTATTTAAATCACTTTAATCAATTAAGAAGGGTTTTACCTGAAAATAAGGAAAAAATGAAAAGAAGGGCTTAATCAGCTGTCTCATGCAACCAAAAATCTGCAGTTAAGAAAGTCAAGGTTCACAAAAGTGCTCAGAAAAATTCTTGGAGAAACCCAATAACTATCCAAGATTTGTCACCATCTTTGTTGTGTAAATTTCATTCTCAAGATTTTCCTCATTATCAAAGGAAGGCTGTGTATAATATTTCCAAGTGTTATATTCATATTTCAAGTAGACAGAAAGAGAAAGAATAAAGCAGCAAAATGCTAAGGAGCAAGCCAGCTGAGCCTACCCCTTTTTATCATCTTATCCAGGAGCCCAGCTCACACACTCAAGTGATCCACCCGCGTCAGCATTTTGTTTGTCAGAGTTGGATCATAGTCCCCCCTAGCCACAGGAAAGTGGTTAAAGTCCATTGTATATGTGATTTGTGAAAGTGAGCCAAAATTACCCGTCACTAAATTTGGG
Source organism: Homo sapiens (assembly GCF_000001405.40). NCBI lineage: Eukaryota > Metazoa > Chordata > Mammalia > Primates > Hominidae > Homo > Homo sapiens. The sequence continues at coordinate 156,243,335 of NC_000004.12, forward strand.
TTGGCATTTTCTGTTACAAATGTGTTAAAGTGACAAAAATAGTTATCAGTAAATTGAAAATGGAATTGGAGTAGAGGACGGGAAAATGTAAGTGCTCTGATTTCTGCAACTTCTACTGTGAGTGTTAAGTGATACTGTGTAATGTTGATGAAGCAAAAAATACAGGAAAAAGAACATTGCTTAATTATAAAAAGATTACTAATAGAAGAAAAGAACATAATTTTCAACACTTGCAAGAAGGGAAAATAGAAAAGTTCTCACTTTTAAGATGGAAGGAGGGGATATGAGTGAGATCTTTTGCCATGATTTATAGAGATGGAAAGTCCAAGTATCTTTTAAAGGAGATAATTGAAAACGAGGATCATATTGTTGAAGAAATAGTAAAAAAAAAAAAAAAAAATTGAAGAAGAAATTATTTAAAATAGTTGCCTCTATGTGTTGTCTGTGTACTCTGTTATTTCTTTTGCTCTGCAGAAACTTTTTAGTTTAAGTCGTATTAGTCTATTTTTGTTTTCATTGCATTTGCTTTTGAGGTCTTAGTCATAAATTTTTTGCTTAGTCCAATGTCCAGAAGAGTTTTTCCTAGGTTTTCTTCTAGAGTTTTTATACTTTCAGGTCTTATATTTAGGTCTTTAATCTATCTTGAGTTAATTTTTGTATTTGGTGAGAGATAGGAGTTCAGTTTCATTCCTCTGCATATGGCAAGCCAATTTTCCCAGCATCACTCTTTGAATAGAACATCCTTTCCCCATTGTATATTTTTGTTGAGTTTCTCAAAGATGGGTTGATTGAAGGTATTTTGCTTTATTTCTGGGTTTTCTATTCTGCTCCATTGATCTATGTGTCTATTTTTGTACCAGTACCATGCTGTTTTGGTTACTATTGTCTTGCAATGTAGTTTCAAGTTAGGTAGTGTGAGGCTTCTGGCTTTATTCTTTTTCTGAGGATTGCTTTGTTCACTATTTAGGTGAAGGGCATACTAGAAGCCAAAATCTCACCATTACACAATATATCTGTGTAACAAAACTTCACATGTGTCCCTTGAATCTATAATAATAATTTTTAAAAAGTTGCCTCTGATAGGTGAGAGTAGGAGTGTGGTGCCAATGTGAGCAAAGAAAATACAGCTTTTAATTTTATGCTTTTCCATACTACTTTATTTTTCAAAAACAATACTCTTGTATTAGTATGACAATTTTGATCAGTGGAGAAGCAACAAAGGGTGTCATAAATAAAGAGACCTTTTATTTTATCTTTCATCAGCCCCGTAAAGTTATTTCACTCTCCTTTTCTTGTGGCATTAAATAGACAATCAAACACACTTGACCTTAATTCACTGACAAGAGCATTTCTGAATTATTTAATACTAAATGGCCTTGTAGCTTGTGATTAGATGGAAATGTATTAAGCATTTTTTTCCTTTGTAATTTATTTTAAAATCTATAGCTTCTTGGATTAGGACACAGGAACATTTTAGATTAATATATCTGTAACCTTTGCATTGATTGCTGTAATTAACCATGAATTGGTAATTCTAGAAATAACTTTCATAGACATCAAGTGATTGACCACACATTGGCATATGTTTTGACTTAAAATATGTTTCCAAAACTTAAAAAAAAAGAATTTCAGGTCATGCTATAATCGTCTCTTATTTCAATGCCAAACAAATTAAGATTGCATTCTTTCAATTTGACTGTTTAATCCTTTTGCTTTTTTTTGAGTGGAGTCTTGCACTGTTGCCCAGGCTGGAGTGCAATGGCATGTCTCGGCTCACTGCAGCCTCCACCTCCTGGGTTCAAGCAATTCTCCCTGCCTCAGCCTCCCAGCCTCCCAAGTAGTTGGGATTACAGGTGTGTGCCACCACACCCAGTTAATTTTTGTATTTTTTAGTAGAGACGGAGTTTCACCATGTTGGCCAGGCTGGTCTCAAACCCCTGACCTCAGGTGATTCACCTGCCTCGGCCTCCCAAAGTGCTGGGATTATAGGCGTGAGCCACTGCACCCAGCCAATTGTTTAATTCTTTACAGGACACAAAAACTTCATAATGTAGAATAGTGTCTTTTATTTCTATGTGAAATGCTTGCAAATTGTTGCTGTAACTACTTGAATGGCTAGTTCTTATTATTGTAACAAGTAGCTGAATTTTCCTGAGATTTTTCATATTCAAATAAAAATGAACACATTAAAATGTTTAAATATCAATGGCCAGTTGCATAGATTCTGTTTCTCTTATTTCAATTAATTTTACTGGCTTCTAGCTTTCTAACCGGTACTCCACTACTTAGTAACTAACTTTGATTCTTATGATTGTAAAATGCCAACCACCCGTTGGTAACAATTTACAAATCTAAGAAAAGCAAAGGTGTCCACATTAGCATATAATGAAAAATAGTGGATTACTCTGACAACCTGATAAATTGTTTAAAAAACACGAATAATAATAATGGGCTAGACATTATTAACTACCTACTGAATAGTTGTTCTTCTCTCTTCTTTGATAAAACAAATACATAAATTACAGTTTTGTTAAGAATGGCAATATGTCCAACCTAAAGCAAAAATGAATGTTGGTCAGAGCATCAGCAGCCATCTTGCTCCATGAGGAAGATGTAAAAAACCCCAAGTATGTTGAGTCAATGACCTGAAGTGAGCAATCTCTAAGTTATGATGTTTTTGTAATATGAAAAATTATTTCTTTCTTCCACCGTAAGTCATTAGTTCTATAATTTTCCACCAAATGCAATGCTAAACATAAATCAATATGTGTTTAGTACATAAATATGTACTAAACATATTTCTAAATAAATATATAAATTTATTTATATAACTAAATGTTTTTATGATTGTACAGTTGGCCTCTTTCATAATAATTGTCTTATTTATAAGCCTAGTGCAGAAGAGGCGAAAACATAAAGTTTCTTTTTTTTTTCACTTAACCTATGTTCACAAATAAAAATTCTTTTCTGTGGTGATAGTTTGAAACAAATTAGAAGTCATATCTTGGTTTGTCCAGAGAGATGTAGAATCACATTGGATTATAAAGAGTGAAGAAAGAAAAGCAAAGAAAAACTTGAAGATTCTTTTCTAGACAGAAAGGGATTCAAAGGAAAGTATGGTGAATTCATAGTATAGATATGGCTTATTTAGCTTTGTCATTATTATTGTTAGCTATTTTTTAAAGAATTATCCACAAACAAAGAACTCAAGTGACCAGTTCTCTAGTGTCAATGTTTATATGAGGCACATGAAATTCTACAGAGGAATAAATGCTACCAAAGTTTAACATGAAGCAGTGGGTATAAAGTCCAGCACAAGTGGATACAGGGTATATGTGAGCTCATATCTTCAACTTTAGGGGGCAATATAAAATAACAAGAATTTGATGATTTTAAAATGTTGACGAAGACTTCTGGAGGTATGGCAGAAAAACATCTGATTTAGTATAATCCCTTTTAACTAAAAATTTATGTGCTATGGGACAAAATAAAGGAGAATAAATAAATACTACAGCTAAGACTGAAACAAACAGAAATTTCCAGTCACCAGAAATGAATAGTCAGCTATCAGAGGGTGCTATTACATACCCTTTCATGGAAGTCTTGGCAACAGATATACTCCCTGAAGCAAGGTAAGAGGCTCCTGCTAACAGCAAGAAACATTTAGGTACTCACTGTCTTCACGGATTACAGAAACTCTATTCTGTGGCCCAGATAAATATATAAAAACTTTGTCACTTGTCTAATGCTTTGGGTGGGAAAAATACACCATTTGTGAGAAAAAGAATCCTAGACATGTACCAAGCAGGTATATAAGCAAGGCTGGCTACAAAATTTGCTAGGCCCAATGCAAAATAAAAGCGCAGGGCCTCTTGTTCATAAAGCAAGAAAAAAACCACTACTGGTAATGGTGCTAAAATAAAAAATTTTTACTTTCTTCCATAGTCTCTCTATTGATGTGTTATGGTACACTTTAGGTACTATTTAAGTCTTTCTAAGTAAACAAACAAAAACACCACACTAAAATTTTAAATTAGCTGGAATTTTACCCTTAATTTTTATAGTGTCTAATGATAGTTTTAAATGCAAATATGAATGTGTATTAGAATAATGAATCACAGAAATTATACAATTCATGTTTCACAGCTCGTATATGCCTATGTGTTTTATTCTACAAGAACGGTGGAAACTGTATAAAACTAACTCAACTGCTTTTATTTATCTTATTGATACATGCACATTCTACCAACATTTCTACCTACATATACAGACAACTAAATAGGCACTGAAATGAAGAGGAACAATGGGTAGTTCTATCTTTCCCTTTCCTGCTGTGTCATCATTTTTAGTGTCAGTGGTTGACTAGTTAGTACAGGGAATTAACACAAGTAAGAAAGGATATGACAGTGCTCTTTGGTCATGGTGTTTCTTAGAATGCAATTGTGTTTTTTCCTGTTTGATGCAAGTTCTGCTTTGATCAGAATGGGTGGGCTTTTGGGGCTGTCAGTGCTCCTGATTAATCAGTGGTAGAGGTAACGTGCTTTTTCCTTGTCTGAGTTTTGCTGAACGCCCGTACCTCAAGAGTCACAGGACTTGTGTACTCATGGAGCATTATATGGGAACAGGGCATCAAGGAAGGTGGATAGCTAGCTATATTGTGCCTATCTCCTCTGCATTATTGCCTCATCAGACTTCACTTACAAGACACAAGTTCAAAGATGAAAATTATCAAGAGTCTCAAAAAGGGGACAACATAATATTAAACTAAGCATGGAGCTTTTCTGAGTGTGGGGCCCTCTGAGACTGAACAGATCTCATGCCCATGAAGCCAGCTTTGGGTCCAGGATCAAAGTTCATACTATCTGCAGAGTATCAGCAATAAAAACCAAGAAATGAACCTAAAAATAGTCTAGAATTATTAAAATCCCTGGGAAATTGCTGGAGGAAGCAAACCTGAAACTTGTATAGTGAGTAGTAGTGGAAAATAATCAAGTCTGTTTATTTTTCTAGACACAAACATTGTTTAAAAAGCAATATAACAGGAAAGATACAAAAGCCTATTGGAACATGGTATAATGAGTTTCTACTTCTAAAAAATACATGATATTGAAGTAAAACATATAGACATAAAAGTGTGTAAATTTAGAAGTACACACCAAAGTGTGCTGACAAAGTGAACACACCTGTGTAAGCACAAATCAAGTATGAGTATAAAATACTCCCAGCAGCACAGAAAATGCCTTCAGGCCCCATCCTATGCATAGTGAACTATATCCAAAAGGTAACCACTATTTTGATTTCTAAAACCACAGAATTTGTTCTTTCTCAAATACGTATTTAATGTAGTCATAAAGCTGGTGTCGGTCTTTCTTTGCAAATTTTGTTTGTGACATGCATAAAAGTTGTTGCATGTAGCAATAATTGCTGTATTATTTCTACAGAATACAGAATTTTTAATACAATTTATTCACTCTCTTATTACGGATGAAAATTTCTAGTTAGGAGCCTGTCTTAGTCCATTTGGGCTGCTATAACAAAACACCATAAACTGGGTAGCTTATAAACAACAGAAATTTATTTCTCACAGTTGTGGAGACTGGAATATTCAAGATAAAGGCACCAGCAGATTCAGTGTCTGGTGAGGGCTTGCTTTCTGGTTCGTTGATGGCACCTTCTTGCTATGTCTTCACTTGGTAAAGGGGTGAGTGAGCTCTCTTGGGCCTCTTTCATAAGGGTACTAATCCTATTCATACGGGCTCTGCCCTGATGACCTAATCACTTCCCCAAACTCCACCTTCTAATATCATCACCCTGGGGGGAAGGATTTCAACACATGTGTTTTGGAGAAGACAGAATCATTCAGACAGCAGCGGAGTCATTATATAAATGCTGCTATGATCATTCTAGTATATGTTTTTAGAAGCACACATGTAACATGTTACCCAGAAGTGGAATTGCTGGGTCAGGGGTTATGCATATGCTAAACTTTCCAGTTATCACTGTCAAACTTTCAAAGTGTTAATAACAATTTATACTCTAATTAGCAATATTTGAATTATCTAGTTACTCCAGTAACACTTAATTGTTAATATCTTTCTCTTCATTCTTGGGGGTAGTTTTAATTTTTATTTCTATGATAATAATTATGATTTAAGCAACTTTTCATGTTAGCAATATCTATACATTGCTGACTATTCAATTACCTTGCACATTTTTGTGTTGGATTATCTTTTTCTTATTATTTCTAGGAATTCTTCATGTACTTATGCTTCTCAACTTATTATCAGGTTACATTCCAATAAACTCATAAGTTAGAAATATGATACGCTGGAAATATATTTAATACACCTCAACTGCCAAATATCATAGCTTAGCCTAACCTGCTTTAAACATATTCAGAACACTTACTGGTATGTTTTCAATGTGTTCCTCAAATTTCATCTGTTAAAAACTTAATCCCCAATGTGGCAATATTGAAAGGGGAGGCCTTTAAGAGGTGATTGGATCACAAGGACTCTATCTTCATGAATAGATGAATGGATGAATGGGTGAATGGGTTATCATGTAGCGGAACCAGTGGCTCTATAAAAAAAGAGAAAGAGAGTGCTGGGCTAGCATGTTAGCGTGCTCAGCCCTCTCACCCTGTGATGCCCTGCACCACCTCTGGCTCTTCACAGTCCCAATCAGCAAGACGGCTTGCATCAGGTGTGGCCCTTTGACCTTGGAATTCTCAGCCTCCATAACAGTAAGAAAGATATTAATTTTCTTTATAAATTACCCAGTTTCAGGTATTCTGTTATAAACAGCAAAAACAAAGATACTTGCATTAGCTTACAGTTGGGCAAAGTCATCTAACAGAAAGCCTATTTTATAACAAAGTATTGGCCACTTCATGTAATTTATTGAATACTGTACTTAAGGTGAAAAACAGAATGGTTGTAAGAGTACCATCTTAATGTCAAAAAATTGTAAGTTGACCCATGATAAGTCAGGGACCATCTGTATTCTGAGTTTAAATATTTTGTTACTCATATGTGTTGTAAAGATATCCCCTGTATTTGTTTGCTAAGACTGCCATAACAAAATACCACAAACTAGGTAGCTTAAAAAACAGAAATTTATTTCTCACAGTTCCGGAGGCTAGACCAAGATCAAGGTGTCAATGTTTTGGTTTCTTCTGAGGCTTGCAGATGGCCACCTCCTCACTGTGCCCTCACATAGTCCTTTCTCTGTGCACATGCATCCCTGCTGTCTCACTGTGTGGCAACCTTTTCTTTTCTTAAAAGAATCAGTCATATTGGATTAGGACCCAGCCTTATTAACCCTGACCACCTTTTTTTTTTTTTTTTTTCTGAGATGGAGTCTAGCTCTGTCGCCAGGCTGGAGTGCAGTGCACGATCTCGACTCACTGCAACCTCCGCCTTTCAGTTTCAAGCGATTCTCCTGCCTCATCCTCCTGAGTAGCTGGGATTACAGGCATCTGCCATCATGCCCAGCTAATTTTTGTATTTTTGGTAGAAACGAGGTTTCACCATGTTGGCCAGGCTGTTCTCGAACTCCTGACCTGGTGATCTGCCCACCTCGGCCTCCCAAAGTGCTGGGATTACAGGCTTAAGCCACCATGCCCAGCCAACTTTTAAAAGAGCCCTATCTCCAAATACAGGCACCTTCTGAGGTACTGAGGGTTAGGCTTTTCAGCACATGAATTTTAAGAAGAACACATTTCAGCTCACAACATTCCCCTATTCTATATGATTTTAATAGTTTGTTGCCTGCACAGTTCTTGGCACTAACAACAATTTTTCCCGCTGCCCCAACAACCCTTTCTGCCATTGACAGTACATGACTTTCATTCTATTTTTTGGAGATCCCTCATCCTAAGAGGTTTGCTCTTGGAAAGAACACCTTCAAGATGGTTGTAGTAGTTTTCTATTGCTGCATTCACCTTGCCACAAACTACAACACACATTTATTATCTCACAGTTTCTTTGGGTGAGGAGTGTGGGCACAGCTCAATTGGGCTCTTTGCTCAGTCTCAAAATGCTGCAATCCAAGCGCAGGAAGGGCAACATTCTTATCTAGAGGCTCAATTGAGGAAGAATCTGTTTTCAATTTCTCTCAGGTTGTTGGCCGAATTCATTTCCCTGTGTCTTTAGCACTTATAACCTCAGCTTCTTACTGGCTGTCAGATGGCAGCTGCCCTCAGGTCCTAGAGGCCACTTGCCATTCCTTGCCTAAGTGGAATGCCTCAACATGGCCACTTACTTTCTAGAACCAGCAAGTAGAGTCTCTAGTGCAGACTGTTCACAAGACAGTCTTATAGGATGTAACATAATCACAGGAGTGACATCCTATCAACTTTGGCTTTTTTCACTGGTTACACAAATCACAGGTTTTACCCACTCTCAAAGGGAAGGGATTATATAAGGATTTGAGTACCAGAAGGTTGGGATGACTGGGAGTCCCCTTGGAGTCTATCCACCACAACGGCTAAATCCTATGTATCATCTGTCACCTCCAGCTGGACCTTGGGAGACTTATGGATTCTTGACATACCACACTGGGTTATAAGTGGCTCCCTTCATAACCTGTCTCATCCCTGTCATATTGAGCTATTCTAGTCATCCTTTACTTTAGAATTTGCTAAATAGGATGCAGGCATCCACATCTAGGTGTCCCACATTATTAGGTGAGGCTTCTAAGAAATTTCAATCTTATGTCTAATTCAAACTTTACTTTCCATAACCCTACTGACATCTTCTACAGTACTGCATTCAGGTCACTCTGCTCTGGGCACAGAATAGAAATGAGCATGCATGTTTCTTCAGCTCAGAGTCATCAACCTAGACTCTCTGGTTGGTTCTTTTCAATCCACATTTACTTGGCAGGAGGTATGCAAGAAGCTTCGAGAGAGGACATAAAAAAGCCATAATTTGCACCCTACAGTTTCTTACTCTGATATGCTCCAATTTCCTTTGTTTCTGAATTATCTGTTTTCCCTTTGTGTAGGCTATTTGGGAACATGTAGGTGGGGGCACTACATGTGGCAGGCAGCCTCTAGGATGGCAGACACTCAATAATTTTCATCTCGTGGTATTCAATCCCTTGTAGAATCCCGTCTGTTTAAGTGTGGGCTGGAGCTACTGACTCATCTCTAGTGAACAGAATATGGCAAAAATGATAAGATAACACTACTGAAATTAAGTTACAAAAATACTATGACTTCTATACTGTTTATTTTCTCTCTCTTAGAGACATTAGCTGCCATGTTTTGAGCTGTTTTTATGGAAAGACCCACATGGCAGGAAACTGATATCTCTGGCAGCCTGCAGGCCTCCCAATACCTTGTGAGTGACTTCAGAAGCAGTTTATTCTCTAGTGGATTTGATTGAGGCTCTAGCTGACAGTTGACTGGATTGTGAGAGACTCTGAGCCAGAGGCATCCAGCTAAACCATGCTTAGATTCCTGACCTGCAGAAACTGAACTCATAAATGTTTATTGCTTTTAAGCCACTAAATTTTGTGGTTTGATTATGCAGCAGTGATCAAATGCTCTATGCTGTATGAGTAACAACCCCCATGGTCTCCAAAACAGTAGTGACTTAACAACAACAACAAAATATTTCCTTTTACTTACATTGTAATCTAATGGCTCCACTCCATCCTGAATCCTGGCTGTGGATTTCCAAAGCAGCTGTGGCAGGAGAGAGTGGCCTGGAGTAGAAAATCAAGGACGGGGTGGCGAAGGGGACATTTTAAAATCACAAAGCCTGTAGATGGATTATATCATTTACCTTTACATCTTTACCAGCAAAAACTGAGACACATGCCCCTACCTAACTACAAGCGTGGCTGAGAAAAGAAGAGAAGCACAAGGATAATGGTGAGTACTGACAATCTCTGTCCTGGAGAGTTGGCAATCTTTTCATAAGCTTTGGAAGGGTCTCTGATACTTCAGTACTGCTTTCTTTATAATTTGCAGGTAACTTATGCTCATTTTTTCAGCTTGTTGATTTACTTGAAATTCTGACAATAGGAAATTTCTAACTTCATTTCATACAGGTAATCAATGCAAGAATTCTATATTGAACTCAGGTTTTCTGCCCTGGAGAACTTAACTTGAAAGCAGTAATCTTAGGATCTCTTCCTAGCTTTTGGCATATGATGATCAAAATGCTCATTGTGTCTAACAAGCCCCTGGATAATGTGGCCCCAGCCTTCTTCTATGACCTTTCCGCACTCAATGCTCTCCAGCCCCCACAGCCTTCATTCACTTTCTCACATTGTCTATTTTCTTTCTCACTTCTCATCTGGCACCAAATTCATGTGACTTCTTTTCTCCTGAACTACAATTTAACATCCTTAAATCTCAACAAAATTGTCACTTCCATAGAAAATCTCTCCAATATCTCATATCATAGCAAGTTTTCCTTTTATCCAAAACAATGAACCCATTTCTTTTCCTTCACACTCACCATTAGTGTTTGTAGTTACATGTGATTTTATAAATCTTTAATGAGTATCTTTCTTTTTTAAGAGTCCCAAGGTTAGGGAAAATGTCTGTTTTGCTCATGATAATATCTTTGGTCCTTAACAGATATATACTACTATAGGTGCTTAATGATATGTTTGATTGACTGGACACATGAATAAATAATCTCAGACAAGTCTCACATAAAGTTGTTTGTAAGTTGAGACAATTTCTAAGACACCTCAAGGACCCAACAATGTCTGGCGTAACGCAGGGACAGCTAGAGAATGGTGAGTGACATCAGGATAAATGTAGGAATTTTCTTTAGGGGGTACCTATTCTTTTAGTCTGAATAATTTTCTTCTCTAATTAGTACAGCTCAGAGGAATGTTTCTCCCACTATAACATGACTAAAAACACAGATGGAGCACTTGTCTGATGTTCTCTGTGGGTAGCCAGGCAGAACACTGACCTATAGGAAGAATTTTGAGGGGGGTTGGATAACCCGGTGTCTTCTCTCACAAGATCAAATGGTGTTCTGTTGTACTTTGTGATGAATAGGGGAAAATACTTGGGTAATATTGTTAAATGGAACCTACTTCATTTATTTATTTTTTCTGTTTTACTTATTTTTTTCTTAAAGAGTTCTACTCTTGAATTGTTTTATTTTCCTCTGACTATGTGTTTCCATGTTTCTGATTCTGAATTTTTTCAAGTTCAATATTCAGTTGAAATGAAGTACGGCTGAGTTAGAATCAATCTGGAAAAACAAACAAATAAACAAAAAATTACAGAATAGAAGCTTTTGTTTCTTCTTTATTGTAATTTCTCTCTTTTCTATCCTACAGCTTGTATCCTTACTTAGTTTCTCATCTCTATCTAATCTTCAAGAGAAGAAATGGTGGGAAATGCTAAAGGCCCAGTCCCAGATTATAACCAGGAAGGAAGGAAGAGGTCAAGTGAGGGGTGAGGATCCACTAACATTTGAGGACTTGAGTGTCAGAAACTTTACATACGTAATCTCATTTAATTCTCATAGAAGTCCTATTCTATAGGTATATGGTATTACCCCCCTACACACACACACCATTTTCTAGATGAAGAACCTGAGGCTTAGAGAGGCTAAGCATTCTGTCCATAGTTAAACCACGAGCCTGTGACCGAGCTGGAATTTAAAGGTAGGTTTGACTCTAAAACCCACATGATTCTCACCTCAGTTACCTATAGAGAAAGAAAGATGAAATGGGCAGAATAAACCTCAACAGCAGGTAAATCTTTTGCCAGTGGATCATGTAATACAACAGTAGAATTAGAAGTGAAGTGTTTGCACCTTATTTCAGTTGCAGTGGATTTTCTAATTCCAAAAATGTTTAAAGATTTCACTAGGGCCATAAATCTGTTTTGTGCTTAGGAAAAAAAATAAACAATAAAAAAGATAAACTTAAAACACACAATTACTGTGCCGACACAGAGATGCACTGGGAATTGTATTTTGCCAACACACCAGTGGCCATCTGTGCTTCAGATTTTCCAAATGAATTTTTGTATTTACTTGCTCTCATGGCAAAACCTCTCAGAACACTCCTTGGTCATTTAAAAACCCATGTTGACACAAGCTTTTCTGGAGTTGCTTGTAATTCCATAGTAACCAAGAGCCTCTCCTAGATGTTTTCTTGGCTTTATTCATCTGTTTGCCCTTCATTTTAGAACTCTGCAACAGTGTTGGTTTTGCATAATCTCAGTTCTTTCCTGTGCAGAGAATTGGGGAATTCTCTGCCAAATTGAATGAAAAAATTGAGGCAATTATCTGACAATACATGTGAGAACCTGTTATCACTCAGAATGAAAGGTAAATGTCTTCAAATTTCTGTTTCATTTGGACTAAGAAGACTTGAAGAGATTGCAATCTTTCCCTTCTCATGCATAAATCATCGAGTTACACATTCGCAAGGATGAAGGTGTCACTGAAGTACTTGTTTAAAAATAAATATTGCTTTTCACAGAAAGGCTAAATTCGTTCTCCAGGGAGCTGTAGTCATGGCAATGACACTTCAGAACTAAAATCAACAGTACTTTCTTTGATGAAGTTAGTTATTGCATGCTTCACGTAAATACATATATTTTGTCTATTTAGTACTTAAACCACCAAATTATGTTTTTGGGCATCATTGTCTACAGTTCTTAAGCTTCTTTTCTTTGAAAATATATGTGGTTTCTTCTCATCTGATCATATTGTGGCATTACATTATGAATAGGTCAATGACTAAATACAAGACTCATCCGTTTTATCTGACAAAAAGTTTGACATAGATAATAACTATTTTGTCAGATAAAACTGATGGGCCTTAAATTTAAGATGTTTTTTCTTTCATATTAGTAGGTAGGTGGTAATAGTTTATTTAACACATTGTTTGCACTGTGAGAATCACACTTTTAGATTTTTTTCTTTGTTTTTTCAGGTAAGAAAATTTCTCAGATTTTAAATACTTTCCCCTGGCTATACATTTTTGAAATGTATAACATCCCTAATTCAAAATTTGCAAAGAATACAGTTAATGTGCTGCATATTCATATATACCTCATAGAGCTCATAAAATATATGCACCTGCATGCCCTGTTTTTCACATTTAACTTGTCTTGAGTATTTCCCATCAATGATATTTTTAAAAATTTCACTTATAATAACAATATCATTTTGTGTAATAGATATTTTATAACATATTTAATAATTTACAGATATTTGACTTTGATTTGTAGATATATATTCTTTATGAATTATTTTTTTCTTTTTGTATAATTTTTTAAGATTTTTTTTAAAAGAAAGGTGAGAATAATTTGCTAGTTTGGAAGTTTTCTTATGCCTTGATCTTTTAGAAAATACAGCAGAAAATACCAAAAATGTATTTTTTCCACTTTCTTCTGGAACTTTATTTCATTTATTTTCAATAAAAGATAATTAGGTTTTTACTTAATAAAGAAAACTGCCAATGCCTGTGATATCAAATAACGCCTTTATTTAAAAATATTATAAGTGTAAAGAAGATAATGATGTTCGGACTTTTTATATATAATAGATTTCCCATAATCCCATGACACCGTTCATAACACATAACACTAATACTGTTTGATTCCTCTGTTTAATCCTCTTCTCCACCTAAGATTTTATCAGGAAACTTTCTTCTTAGGAATTGAAACAGTAAGCACTTTTATTCACTATTACCTCTTTTTCTGTTTTGAGCTTTTGGGTCCAAAGGAAGGAGACTCTGTATTTTCTGAAGGCCACACTGCGCCTCTCCCAAGGTATAAAGGTAAGTAGTACCTTTGTGTCTTCCTCTGCTCTCCCTCTTCCATCCACCACGCTGCTCTTCTGGAGCTCTCAGCAGCAGGAATAGTTGCTCTGGTACATCAGGAGGAAAATGGATTGTCTACAAATGGACTCTTTGCCTAGCAAAAATGTCTGCTTGTTTTTAACACCTGTGGTTTAGATCCTCGATAACAGAAAATAAAGCATTCCTGATGTAAGTAAGCTTTAATAGTCAATATCTTTAAGACCCTAAGACAATTAGCTGCTGTTGCTTAGAATTTACTAATGACTCCACTTAATCACCTGGACTGTGCTGATGACTACTCATGACTTTATTATTTTTAAAGCTTTGTCAGTATCCGTAAGTGCTTAAGAAGAAGAAGGTGAAGAAAAAAAGAGAGAATTCCATATCTCTCTGTTATCTCCACATTTGCTATAGAGTCTGGGTACAGAAGCAAAAAAAGGCATGTATAATGAATAATGACAGCACCAACACAGGAGGCTGAAAAGTTTATTTCAGTTGGTTTCACATTTGACTACGCTTAGGGATTTCTCAAAGGAGTCACCTATAAATGTGGTGGCTACTCATTGATTGATAGACACTGCCTGTTATTTGGATAAGCCTAAAATAGGCCTCTTTGGACAAACAAAATCTCAGGAGAAGTTAGAGCAGGTGATTTACAGGAGCAATCGGAGGGGTTGAGGTGGAGTAGGAGTGACAGGGTGGTCCAAACGGAATTTCATGCTGAGCAGGACAAAATACGAGAGTATAGATCAAAGCCAGACACAGCAGTGTCAGTAAATATCAGATGAATAAAATGCATGATGATTTTGCTTGAGATCTTGTCTTCAACTTTTCTCTTTGGCTTCTGCACTGTTTACCATTAGATTCAGTGGAACATAACTGATGAGAAAGGTTGTGAATAAACCATCCCCATTTAATTAATCCCCTGCTGGTTTTGCTGATGATCTTTTCCCCACCAAGTGTCCTCTTCAACAAGGTTGGGCAAAATACCGAATAATGAATTTAGCATAGCTTCTGTTAACTTGCCAGCTATTTACCATATATTTTCCCCCTTAATTGTCAGATTTTTTTTCAATGAAGATTAACAAGGCATTACCAATTTATAGAATGGTTTTATCCATGCTTGTAAATGTTAATTTGCATTGACTAAGATGAAACTGGGGTCATCACTTTTCCTTTGATAACTTTCTTCCTTAATTGCTATTTGCATCAAACCACGCTGAGTGGATATGGTTTTAGTTTTCTGAAAATGAGCATATTTGAAATATATTTTGAGATTCTTGGCTTTATTGAAGGGTTTGGAGGCATCCTTTGTCCCTATGTATTTTATTTTCTGTTGAAAATCTCAGAAACATGTGTTACAGGGAAAGAACACAGATAATTTATATATGCAGAACATTTTCTCAGCATGCATGAAATGTATTATACTATCTCTTGGCAGTATGATTGTTTGCAGTTAAAGTTTGCATAAAACTCAAGTATTCTAGTATTTTCAATTATCTCTTTTAAAATCACCTTTGGCTTTGTCTATTTTATTTTAGCTGTGTTTGAACTTAGTGTTGGCTAATAGAGCACCTGCCATGTGAACATGTAGACAGAATTTTACTTTTTTATTTAATCCAAAAAGCATGCCAATGCAAAAAGGTAACTGCCGTTTTGAAAGAGTGATGTGCAATTATCTAATATAAGTTTAAATGATAAATTTAAAATACAGTTGTTGGGCTTACCAAATGTCTACTCATTCATACTCCAATTGCTGTTATATGTAAGACGCAGAGACCAGAGAATGCAATAGAAGCATGGTAAAGGTAGGATTTTTCTGTGTCTCAACCGTTCAGGCAGATAAGTCTATTCTTTTCTTTCCTGCTATTATTCCAGGAAGTCATGGATTTTTCATGCAATGGGTGAAGAAGACATACAGCTACATACACAGTACTGACTGGGATGTTTTAAAAATCGCATTTGAGAACATTTGAGCTAATACAATGCATTTTCTTAACGAGAGATTTTCAGAATAAAATTTTTAAGCTATTGAGCCTCTTGAAGCTACCTACCAGTGGACTTGGAAAAAGTCTCAGAGTTGGAAGAATTTATTAGGTTATATAATAAGGTTATATAATCCATATTCCTTTATTTTTATGGTAGAAGTAACTGGGTAAGAGAAACTCAAGTCACTTTCCCAAGATCATCTGGTTGGTTTTTAGTAGCATTTGACATTTTGTAACCACTGCCCACTCCCCCAGCCCTCAAAAACTCATAAATAAATAAAATATAAAATTTATATTTTAAAATCTTATTTCAATTTGTAACATCAAAGCTATAATGTACCATCTGTTTTTTGAGAATTTTTTTTGCTGTTTTCATAGACTTCTATGATTTTCTCTATTTGTACCCAGCCCATTTTTTTCCATATGAATGCTAATATAATGAGAATTACTATTTCCCTTTGTTTATGACATATCTGGGAGTCTATAAACACAGGCAACAAATAGCCCAGAACATATTATTGTGAATTTGATAAACTTGATATTCTTAACCAATGCATAGCTAATCAACATGAGTCATTTCTGCTACATATGCCATATATATTCCTGAAAATCTTTTGCTAGAATTTTAGGCAAATGGAATCATACATCCCATAAGGCATTAGTTTTTTCTACATGAATGACTTTATTATTTCTTGTGTGAGTTGCTTGTGATGAATTCTCTCAGATTTTTTTATGTATGAAATAGTTTTTATTTGAAATGTTTTTGATATATTTGTGTTGCATGTAAAGTTATAGGTTGACAATTATGGTAAGCTGAATAATAGGCCCTCAAAGATGTCCATGTCCTGGTTCTGGGGGCCTGTAAATAACATACATGGTAAAAGGAATTTTCTGGATGATTGAATTAAGAAGCTCAAGAGGAGATATTATGAATGATTAAGTTAAGGAACATGAGATGGGATGTTATGTTGATATTCTGCGTGAGGCTGATGTAATCACAAGTGCCCTGATGAAAGAGAAAAGATGAAAAGACAGAAAAAGTTATACAAGAGGAAGGAAGGTGATGATTTTGAAGATGGCGGAATCACGAGCCAAAGAATGCAGTTGGCCTGAAGCAGGAAAAAGTAAGGGAACAGATTTTCCCCTAGAGCTTCCAGAAGGAACACAACCCCGTCAAAGCCTTAATTTTAGCCCAGTGGAAATAATTTTAGCCTTTTTATTCCCAGAAATGTCAGACAGTAAATTCATATTGTATCAAGCCACTAAGTTTGTGATGATTTGTTACAGTGACAATAGGAAATTCATGTTTCTAGTAATTTTTAAAAGTGACTCTATTATCTTCTCACTTGCATGAAAAAATATCTGCTGTTATCGTTATCTTTGTTCACTTGCATGTAATGTGTATTTTTTCTTTGGCTGTTTTTAAAATATTCTTTTCATCCATAGTTTTAAGCAATTTGATTATGATATGCCTTGTGCTTTTCTTCATGTTTCTTGAGCTTAGAGTTTGCTGAGCTTCTTGAGTCCATAGGCTATAGTTTTACACTTTTAGCCAGTATTTCTTCAATTTTGTTTCTTACCTATACCCACATCAGCACCCCCAACTCTCTCCTTCAGCTGATTTAATCAAATGTATTTTAAGCCACTCGATGTGCCACAGTTTACTGAAGCCTGTTTCAGTTTTTGTATTCTTCTTTTCCTTTGTTTCATCTTGGGAGGTTTTATTCCATTTCTGCAAGATCACTAATCTTTTCATCTGCATTGCCGGATTTGCCATAAAGGCTATCCAATGTTTGGTTGTTATTTTTGTTTACTCATGAAAACAGCATGGAGATAGTACAGAAATTTTCCATATACTTCCACATCTGTTTTTTTTTTCTGTTTTAATATCTTCATTATGGTTCATGTGTTACAATTAATGAACCAATATTGATATATTATTATTACCTAAAGTAGCACTTTATTCCAAGTTCTTTAATTTTTACTTTTTTATGTTCCAGAATGTCATCAAGGTTGTTACATTATATTTACGCAGTATATCTCCTTAGGCATCTCTTGGCTGTGATAGTTTTTCAGACTTTTCTTGTTTTTGATGACCTTGATATTTTGTTGAAATATACTTAGGTATTTTGTTGAATGTCCCACAATTTAGAGTTCTATTATATTTTTCTCATGGTTAAACTCAGGTTATGTGTTTCAAGAGTGAGAAAAGAAAGGTAATATCTCAGTCTCATTATATCATATCAAGAGTGCATACTATCAATGTGAGTCATCACTGTTGGTGCACACCTTGAAAACCTGGCTAAGGTAGTGTTTGTCAGTTTTCTTCACCATAAAAACATTCTTTTCCTGTTTTCCATATTATACTCTTTGGAAGCATGTCACTATGTGAACCCCATATGTAAGAAATGAGGCATTATGTATCATCTCCTTGAGGCTAGAGTGTCTACATAAATCATGTGGGATTCTTTCGCATAGAAAATTTATGTTTTCCTTCCTCTCTTCATTTTCTTTCCTCCTCTCCTCTCTTCTCCCTCTCTCTCTCCCTTCCTTTCTTATTTTCCTTCCTTCCTTCTTTTTTTCCTTCCTTCCATTTCTTTCATGTGGATTATTACATAGTTATTTTATACTTCGGGTTATAATCCAACACTACTCTGTTAATTTTGTTGCTCAAATTGTTCCCTGCTTTGGCCATTGGTAGTTCTGTCAGTTGGGTCTTCTGTCCCTTTGACATGTTACCAATATTGTTTTTGTTTTTATACGCACCGTATACTTTGTGGCTCATATTGCATATTTACTATCCCAATTGTATAAATAGTCATTTATCCAAGGAACACTGATTCCTTTTATTAGAAAATGGTATTAGAAACCAAGATCTGGGTACTAGGAGTGTTCATTGCTACTGGGGTGACCATGTTTCCAGGCCAACTCAAATGACAGAATAAGAAAATATATGTGTATATCCTAGCATATTAGTCTATTGGGACTGTAAAAGATATCACAGACTGTCTGGCTGGCTTACAAAATGACATTTTTTTCCTCACAACTCTATGAGCCAGATGTCCCAGATCAAGGTACTATGAAAAGAAAATAAATCTTGGGGCCCCCAAGTCACTAAGCTAACGGGAAAAGTCAAGCTGGGAACTGCTTAGGGCAAACATGCTTCCCATTCTATTCAAGGTCACCCCTCTGCTCACTGAGATAAATGCATATCTGGTTGCCTCCTTTGGAAAGGCTGATCAGAAACTCAATGCAGTGTTTGTCTCTCACCTACCTGTGACCTGGAAGCCTCCTCCCTGCTTGGAGTTGTCCTGCCTTTGCTTCCAGTTGTCCCACCTTTCCATACCGAACCAATATTCATCTTACATATGTTGATTGATGTCTCACATCTCCCTAAAATGTATAAAACCAGGCTGTGCTCTGACCACCTTGGGCACATGTCGTCAGGATCTCCTGACCCTGTGTCACAAATGCATGTCCTCAACCTTGGCAAAATAAACTTTCTAAATTAACCGAGACCTCTCTCAGATATTTGAGGTTCACCGTACCATTAGGGTTGATTTCTTCTGAGGCCTCTCTCCCTTGGTTTGCAGAGAAGCACCTTCTCATTGTGCCTTCACATGGCCTTTCCTCTGCATATGTAGAGGGGGAAAGATTCCTGGTGACTCTTCCTCTTCTTATAAGACACTAATTTTATTGGATTAGAGCCCTATATTTATGACCTCCCTTAACTTTTATTACATTTTTTGGGGTTCTGCCTCCATATACAGTCACATTGGGGTTAAGTCTACAACATATGAATTATATTTGTTAGAAAGGTATACAATCTAATCTATAAGAACGAGCTTGTGTATATTTAAAAGTATTTTTATGAGTAACCATCTGTATCTATATCA
The DNA here is from genome assembly GCF_000001405.40 of Homo sapiens. Taxonomy (NCBI): domain Eukaryota; kingdom Metazoa; phylum Chordata; class Mammalia; order Primates; family Hominidae; genus Homo; species Homo sapiens. Next base: position 156,263,019 of record NC_000004.12, read on the forward strand.
AGCTAAACATGACATCATACTGATGTTATTTGTCTAGTGCATTTTTTCATATTAGACATTATAATTTTAATCTCTAGATGTTTGATTTGGATCTTTTTAATATAGTCCATGTTTGTACTTAACGTTTTTGAACAGATGAAATGCAGTTACATTAATAATTTTAGTGTCTTTTTAAATTTTATATCTGTCAATTCTGGATCAGTTTCAACTGATTATTCTTCTCATTATAGCATGTGATTTCTTGTTCATTTGTTTGCCTGCCTAATAATCTTTAAGATGCCAGACATTGTGAATTTTACCTTTTTGAGTGTTAATATTTTTATATTTCTATAGGTATTTTTGAACTTTGGTCTGGGATTTTGCTGACTTATTTGGAAACAATTTGATTCTTTTAGGTCTTTTTTCTAAAATTTATTAGGTGAATTGAGATCAGTGATCACTCTAGGGCCAATTATTTCCATTAAAGTAACAACTTCCTAAGTATGCTACCCAATGTACTATTGAGAGTTTTTCTTCTCTTGCTGCTCAGAGCAGGCACTATTTAGAGTTCTGTGTGGTCAGTGGGCACGTAAGCATTTTAAGTGATTCTTTCCACAGTTTTGGAGAGTTACCTCACATGCATGTGCTGATCAGTACTGCGTGCCACACAGTACTGTGTACTACGTAATGGGGGCCCTCTGAAGATCTCTAGGGTTTTCTCCCTGTGAAGTTAGTACTGTGAACTCTAGCCCATCTTGGTGTCCCTGTACCTTCAGAGATATCTCATCAGTTCAGTGAGTCTTCTAGGGACTGATTGACTTATTTTCTCATGCATTGTGACCTGAAATCCTCTCAAGGAATCAATTTTATCAATTATGGAGCTTACTTCATTTCTCAGGGAATTTTTTCTTTCTTTTTTTTTTTTTTTTTTTTTTTTTGAGAGAGAGAGTCTCACTGTGTTGCCCAGGCTGGAGTGCAGTGGTACAATCTCAGCTCAATGCAACCTCCACCTCCCAGGTTCAAGCAATTCTCATGCCTCAGCCTCCCACATAGCTGGGATTACAGACATGCATCATCACGCCCAGATAAATTTTTTTGTGTTTTTAGTAGAGATGGGGTTTCGCCATGTTGCCCACACTGGTCTCAAACTGCTGACCTCAAGTGATACACCCAACTTGGCCTCCCAAAGTGCTGGGATTACAGGTGTGAGCTATCGCACCTGGCCCTCGAGGAACATTTTATTTCATTGCTTGATGTCCAGTACCTTGAAAGCTGTTGTTCTATATGTTTTGTTTGTTCTATATGTTTTGTTTGTTATTTGTTTGTTTCAGGTGGTAGGGTAGATTCAGTCCCTGTTACTCCACCTTGGTAATAAGCAGAAGTTCTATACCATATTTTCTTATTTTCTTGCTCTGTCTGTATTTGTTGCACACCTCAATACGTATGCCAATTTATTTTATAAATTTAACTCATCATTTTTCTTGCCATTTTTTCTACTAATTCTTTAAATATACTAGCCACTCCCTTCCTGAAAAATTATTTTTTCTCCTCCCTTGGCTTCACCCTCTAACCACCATCTGATCCTTGTCCTTCATATCTCAGATGTGCATTTTGAAAGAAAAGTCTATCCAAGATGGCTCCACATTCCTATCTCCCCAACTTTCCTCGGAGTAATCTGCCTAGTGCATGAGCCACACAGATGAATTTTCCTAGCTAAGATCATTAATGACTTATATACAGAAAAATCTAATTAACAGTTTTCAGTTTTTATCAAGTTTCTGTGCTATATTTCATGTGTTAGCCACTCACACCTTCTCTAAAAAATATAAAATTTTAATGATGGAGCTAAGAAATCAACTTTAATAAATCAAAAGCCACAACAAGTGAGAAATGTGATATAAAATATTAATTTTTTAAAGTAACAGACTAAGCTATATGTGCATGCATGTCATCTTTGTCAAGTTGCTTTCCATTTTAAGTAACATAAAATCACTCAAGCAAACTTTTATCTAAGGGAAGTTTATCAGCAGGTATAGTAGGTATCCAAGTATCTGAAGGAATCCAAGGGCAGGGAGTGCAGAGAGGCCTCATGAGCGCTTGAAAGAAGGAACTGGGAGGCAATCTGGAAGTCAGGCAACTGTTCCTCCACTATGAACTGTTAGGATAACATGCTCAGCCTACCTCAAATCAAAATCATGCACATTGAAAAGCACACATCAACTGCTTATTGATGTGCCATTTGCTCATTAAATTAGTAAAACTACTGTGCCATTTGCTTATAAATTAGTAAAACTACTGCTTATTTACCTGATATGGTTTGACTGTGTCCCCACTCAAAATCTCTTCTTGAATTGTAATCCCCACATGTCAAGGGCAGGACCTGATGTAGGTAATTGAATCATGGGGGCAGTTTCCCCAGTGCTGTTCTCATGATCATGAGTGAGTATCATGAGATCTGATGGTTTTATAAGTGTCTGGCATTTCCTTAGCTGGCATTCATTCTCTCTCCTGCTGCCCTGTGAAGAGTTGCCTTCTGCCATGATTGTAAGTTTCCTGAGCCCTCCCAAGCCATGCAGAACTGTGAATTAATTAAACCTCTTTTCTTTATAAATTACCCAGTCTCAACTATTTCTTCACAGCAGCATGAGAATGGACTATTGTTCAGCTCCCACTTAAAAGTGAGAACATGCAGTGTTTGTTTTTCTGTTCCTGCATTAGGTTGCTGAGGATAATTGCTTCCAACTCCATCTATGTCCCTGCAAAGGACATGATTGCATTACTTTTTATGGCTGCTTGGTATTCCATGGTGTATATGTACCACATTTTTTTTATCCAGTCTGTCATTGATGGGCATTTGGGTTGATTCCATGTCTTTGCTATTGTGAATGCTGCTGCAATGAACATACACATACATGTATCTTTATAATAGAATGATTTATATTCCTTTGGGTATATACACAGTAATGAGATTGCTGGGTCAAATGGTATTTCTTCCTCTAGGTCTTTGAGGAATCAGCACACTGTCTTCCACAATGGTTGAACTAACTACATTCCCACCAACAGTGTAAAAGTATTCCTAGATGCTTAGCTTCACTGGCATCTGTTGTTTCTTGACTTTTTGATAACTGCCATTCTGACTGGCATGAGAAGTTATCTCAATGTGATTTTGATTTGCATTTCTCAGTGATATTGAGCTTTTTTCATGTTTGTTGGCTACATAAATGTCTTCTTTTCAGAAATGTCTCTTCATGTCCTTTGCCCACTTTTTAATGGGATTTTGGGACTTTTTCTTATAAATTTGTTTAAGTTCCTTGTAGATTCTGGATATTAGACCTTTGTCAAATGGATAGATTGCAAAAATTTCCTTCCATTCTGTAGGTTGTCTCTTCACTCTGATGATAGTTTCTTTGCTGTGCAGAAGCTCTTTAGTTTACTTAGATCTCATTTGTCAATGTTTGCTTTTGTTGCAGTTGCTTTGGATGTTTTTGTCATGAAATCTTTTTGCATGTCTATGTCCTGAATGGTATTGCCTAGATTTTCTTTCTTCTAAGATTTTTATAGTTTTGGGTTTTACATCTAAGTCTTTAATCCATCTTGAGTTAATTTTTGTATAAAGTGTAAGGGAGGAGTCCGGTGTCAATTTTTTTTTTTTTTTTTTTTTTGCATATGGCTAGTCAGTTCTCTCAGTACCCCTTAATAAAGAAGGAATGAACAACACATACTGGGGCCTGTCAGGGTGGGAAGTGCTGAGAGAGGGAGAGGTTAGAATAAATAGCCAATCCATGTGGGATTTAATACCTAGGCGATGGGTTGATAGGCGCAGCAAACCACCATGTCACACATTTACCTATGTAACAAACCTGCATGTCCTGCACATGTATCCTGGAACTTAAAATAAAATAAAATTAAACAAAATTTTAAAAATTAATCTGTGTGGCCCAAACCACTGAATTTGTGGTAATTTGTTAGGGCAGTGTATTAGTCTGTTCTCACACTGCTTTGAAGAAGTACCTGAGACTGGGTTATTTATAAAGAAAAGAGGTTAAATTGACTCACAGTTTCATATGGCTGGGGAGGCCTCAGAAAATTTACAATCATGGTGGAAGGAGAAGCAAATATGTTCTTCTTCACATGGTGGCAGGAGAGAGAAGTGCAGAGCAAATTGGGGAAAAGCCCCTTACAAAACCATCAGATCTTGTGAGAACTCACTCACTATCATAAGAATAGCATGGGAGAACCACCTCCATGATCCAATCTTCTCCTTTGAGGTCCCTCACCTAACATGTGGGGATTACAATTTGAATTACAATTCAAGATGAGATTTGTGTAGGGACAAAGAGCCAGATCATATCAGGCAGCAAAAGAGAATACATCAACCTTTTGAAATGTTACTATGATGATTCTACTATCTTGTTTGAAAAAAAACTTCAAAGAATTAAGTCGCTTTGCTCAGTGTAACATACAAGACCCCACACTCATCCCTACCAACTACTCCAGCTGCATTTTTCATCATTTCTAAATTATATCCTGCAATAGCCTTATAAAAAGTTATGTTCTTTGGTGAACAGGACTTGTTTCCATGTTATTTCCTCTTCTTAGAAAATCCTTCTAGCTTTTCTGCACATTTAAAATCTTGTAACAAGAGTTAGATCACATGTTGTCTTCTGTGTGTATAACCACTATTTCTCCCATGGGCATTCTTATTGCCTAATCCTCTCAAACTCCATTGCAATCTGTGGGGACCTACATATAAGCATTTATTTACATACATTATAACTTCTATATATTTATTTTCCTCAGTAGGCTAAAGTCCATGGGAAAAGGTGGTTCTCAGAAAACTGAAATGAAGAAAACACAGACTCAAAATTAAGGTGACTGTTTGCTAAGAGCCACTAAGATTCAGTGACTCAGATGAATCTTGTCTTCTAATAGAGTGTTTGATAAATAAACATAATCCAGTGTATTTTACAATGCTAGGAAAAATTAATTCTTAAATATTGTATTCTCAATTTTCAAATGTATCCATTTATGGAAAACAGCATGTCTTGTGTCTAATGTGATTTGGAAGTGCATTGACAGATCTTATTTTATATAAGAACTCTAGTGTCAAATGAATTAATCCATAGTAAAACTGGAAATTAGAGACATTTGGAGATGCCTGATTACTTAAAACCTGTAGTCATATCTCACTATGGACTTAAATACTTGGGGAATTTAGGTGATGATATTGTTTTTATTGCATGTTGATCCTGCTTAAACAGGTGAAAGGAAATTTGTGACTTTCCCATTGATAATTATTCTTGACAAAATATCTCCGGACATAGCTCCCAGAAAGTTTAATGTTGGTCTTTGCATGGTCACATTGACCCCTCAGTCTGAGGAAACACAGACTAACCCCTTAGTTTGAGGAGTTGTTTCCAGGCAAAAAACAGAAATTGAAACTTAAAATTTCTCTTCTGAGTATACTCTGTGATTCCATTTATCTGAATTCCAAGAGCTGCAAAATAACCTAAGGTGGGCGAAATTATGATGTGGTAGCCCAAGTAGGAACTGTAGATTGATTAGAAAGGGGAATAAGGAAACTAATTGGAGTATGGAATGATTTAGTAACCCCAAAGTGACCAATGACATTATTTGAATTACTTTATTGTATTTATTTCCTCTCCCTTTTCAATATTTTCTTTTCTGGATTGATGTTGACCTTAAAGCAGAATAATGAGGAGAGTTCCACTGATTAGTTGTTCTTGTCTAAACCTTTCCAATTTTTTCACTTTTCTTCATTGTATTATTTGCATAAAACTGTGCACATCTCTACATAATAAATGCAGTAGAAATACTAATCTAGTTTGGTGTGTTACAAATATAAAGAAAAAATACAAATAAATATTTCTATTCATCATCTCTTGATCATTAACAATGTTTAACTCAAAAAAATTTCTTTCAGTGATCCTTCCTTTTTGTAATAATTTGAAGCAAAATAATGCCACATAACTTCACTCATTTCAGAAAAAGTATCTAAGTTATCTCCCTACATTCTAAGAGTGTGTTTTAGAAAATTGAAATATGAAACGAGATGCCCTGAAGTTGTACATTTGCTATTGCAAATTCAGATAATTAAACCAATAAATTTAAAGCAAAGTTAAAGAAGGTGATAATGAGTTTGCTCATAGTAATATAAACTAATCGTGTTGAGAAGGAATGTTCAGTAACTAAAATGATTCAACAGTTCTAATTAAGGCAGTAGTGAAAAATGCAATTATAGGCAGAATGCCGAATGACCTAATTTTCCTCCCTTTCCCACTTTTGAAGTAGCTTCACCAAAGGAGTTGCCCTCTTTTCTATGTTTATTTTATAAAATCTGGTGATTAATACTTAAAATGCAAGTGAAGAAACATCATAACAAACAAGTCATTTAAAACACCAATGTCTGATTACCCAAGAGTGTGCTTTGTATTGAATTAGATTATATATTGCTGTGTCGCTGAGCAGGCTATTAATTGTACATATAAAATTTCTAATATGCAATATTTTGGCACTTGGATTCTAAATTAAGTTCAGTGTGATTGTCCTAGATAGGTCCTCTTTGTTCTCACTTGGAACTAATTAAACCCAATATGATCACATGAAAGTGAGCTATAGTTAAAACTACAAAGTGCTTTGTTCAAAAAAAAGAAATCTTAATTAACAGAAGACATACTAAGGAATCATTTGGTTTAGTACATAGTTTCATTACTTTTTAAAAGGTGCTATTGTCAATGCTGACCATTTTAGACCCTGGTTCTGTAAGTATTTCCAAATGGATTACAAACCACATGGAAGGAAACAGAATGAGATAGAAAGAAGGCCAAGACTTATCAAATCATAGATTCCTGGAAGCATGAAGATGAGAGTCTTTTCAAAGTCATCAAGTCTAACCTTCATACAAAGAGGTAACTGTGCTATACAGCATTGGAAGAACTTGTTTTCATTTCTACCATCAATTGGCTCACTTAAATTCCCTGAAGACAGGACCAAGTCCCTTTAGGTTTATGAGCTTAGAAGCTTATTTTTCTGGAGTAAAACTTCGGTTGTTCTTGCCTAAAACTGGGATAGAAGGAATATGGATAAAATATGTACTCACTCTATAAATATTTTTAAATGGTATTGAATAATATGATTTAGCACATCAGAACTGAATAGAAAACATAGCCAGATACAATTTTGTAATTTTCTATTGTCTATATTTAACTTTGTTGGCTTGTTTGTCTTTTCTTGAACAGATTTTCAAGTAAATTTTTTAGGCAGTTTGGGGCTGGATCTCTTTCTTTGGAGACCAACGGAATGTGGGACATTTGTTCTGTAGTCTGTCTGGAGCAATAAACACTGAGAGAATAACATAGAAGATGGAATATTCACTCCTCTTTCTTCCTAAGAGAACTCATTTATTCAAACCTCATATCACAGCACAGAGCATAGTTCTCAGTAGTGTGTGAAAGACAAATAATCGAGTTTACAGAATACCATCTCTTCATTACCAGGAAACCATCCAGAGTCCAAATATGCTCCAAAAGCCACTCCCTTCTTTTTAAAATACAAATACAGCAAGCATTTTTAAATTCTAAAAATGTGATATTTGACTTGAAGGTAAGGAATGAGAGATAACGAAAAGTTGGGCTTTGTGGTTTTTTTTGCTACAGTAGAATATATAGAATTCATAGGTTGATTTAGCATCTCTCTATGAGAGAGGCTCAGTCAGACCCTAGTCAGTCAGCATATAATGAAAACATTCTAGTTCCTTTCATTTTTATATTTCTTTCATGATCATTAAACAAAAAGTTTACTATAGAAAAACTTAAAAACACAAGAATACAAAAGAGATAATGAAAATTTCCCATAATCAAGCCAGAAATAACACCTTTTAATACAGTCTACCTCTAAGACATATATACCACTACATAAATAGGTGTATGAAAATGATACCTGGTATTTAAGAAACGTGCAGTGAATATTGGCTATTATTAGTCAATAGTGATTACTATTATGATTATAATTTTAAATTATGAGATTATATGGACTCTATGGATTATCATACTTCATAAAATTCTTCTATTTTTGGACAATTATGTTTTATATTATGTGCTAATAACATTTTAATGCATAAATCTCTCTACATCTCAAAATATGACTCTAAGTTTATAGGAGTGAAAATACTTGGTTAAAACAAAGGAGACTTTTAAAATCATGCTCCTCTGTATTTACATAATGTCAAACTGCCCACTACCTATAAACTGTATACACTTTATTTATTATTGTTATTTTATTTTATTTTAGATTCAGAGGTACATGTGTAAGTTTGTTATGTGGGTATATTGCATAATGTTGAGTTTTGGGCTTTTTGTAAACCCATCACCCAAATAGTGAACACTGCACCCAATAAGCACTTTCTGTTTTTCTTTTGAGACAGAGTCTCATTCTGTCCCCTTGGCTAGAGCGCAGCAGCACAGTCTCGGCTCACTGCAACCTCCGCCTCTTGGGTTCAAGCGATTCTCCTGCCTCAGCCTCCCATGTAGCTGGGATTACAGGTGCATGCCACCATGCCTGGCTAATTTTTTGTGTTTTTAGTAGAGACAGGGTTTCACCATGTTGGCCAGGGTGGTCTTGAACTCCTGATCTCAGATGATCCACCCGCCTCGGCCTCCCAAAGTGCTAGGATTACAGGCGTGAGCCACAGTGTCCAGCCCCAATAAGTAATTTTTTAACCCTTGCCCTGCTTACTCCAGTTTTGGAGTCCCCAGTGTGATCTTTATGTCCGTATGTACCCATTATTTAGCTATTGCTTATACTTGAGAATATATGGAGTTGGACTTTTGGTTTCTGAGTTACTTTGTTTAGGATAATGGCCTCCATCTTCATCTATGTTGCTGCAAAGGACATGAGTTCATTCTTTTATGGCTGCGTAGTATTCCATTACACTTGCTTTATCCAGTCCACCATTTACGGACATTTAAGTTGATTCTATGACTTTGCTATTATGAACAGTGCTGCAATAAATATATAAGTGCATGTGTCCTTTGATAAAACAATTTCTGTTTCTTTGGGTAGAGAGTAGCCGGATTGTTGGGTCAAATGGTAGTTCTATATCTAGTTACCTGAGAAATCCTCATATTGTTTTCCGTAAGAGTTGAACTAATTTAAATTACCACCAACAGTGTGTAAGAGTTCACTTTTCTGTGCATCCTTGCCAACATCTGCTACTTTTGTGACTTTTTAATAATAGCCATTCTGACTGATGTGTATGGTATCTATTGTGGTTTTGATATGCATTTCTCTGATGATCAGTGATGTGGAGCATTTTTTAATATGTTTCTCAGCCACTTATATGTCTCCTTTTGAAATGTGTTTGTTCATGTACTTTGCCTACTTTTTAATGGGGCTATTTGCTTATTTCTTGTTGATTTGCTTAAGTTCCTTATAGATTCTAGATATTAGCCCTTTGTTGGATTGTTAGTTTGCAGATCATTTCTCTCACTCTGTAGGTTGTCTGTTTATTCTGTTGATTATTTCTTTTGCTTTGAAGAAACTCTTTAGTTGAATTAAGTCCTATTTGTCTATTTTTGTTTTGTTGCATTTGTTTTTGGGGTCTTCGTGATGAATTCTTTGCCTAGGCCAATGTCCAAAATAGTTTTTCCAAGCTTTTTTTCTAACATTTTTACTATGAGGTCTTATATTTAAATCTTTAATCCATCTTGATTTAGTTTTTGTGTATGGTGAGAGATAGGGATCCAGTTTCATTCTTCTGCATATGGCTAGCCAGTTTTCCTAGCACCATTTATTGAATAAGATGGCCTTTCACTATTTATTTTTGTTGACTTTGTTGAAGATCAGTTGGTTGTATGTGTGTGGCTTTATTTCTGGGTTTTCTATTCTGTTGCATTGATCTATATGTGTTTTTTCATACCAGTATCATGCTGTTTTGGTTACTCTAGCCTTGCAGTATAATTTGAAGTCAGGTAATGTAACGTAATGTAATGTAATGCCTCTGGCTTTGATCTTTATGCTGAGGGTAGCTTTGGCTATTCAGGCTCATTTTTGGTTCCATATGAATTTTAGAATAGTTTTTTCTAATTATGTGAAAAATGATATTGGTAATTTGAGAGGAATAATGTTAAACATGTAGATTACTTTAGGCAGCATGGCCATTTAAACGATATTGATTTTTCCTATTCATAAGCATGGGATATTTTTCCATTTGTTCATGTCATCTCTGATTTCATTCAGCATTGTTTTCTAATTCTCCTTATAGAGGTCTTTCACCTCCTTGTTTAAATGTATTGCTACATATTTTGTGTGTGTGTGGCTATTATAAATGGGAATGAGTTCTTGATTTGGTTCTTAGTTTGAGCTTTGTTGTTGCATAAAAATGCAATTGATTTTAGTGCATTAATTTTGTATCCTAAAACACTATTGAAGTTGTTTATCAGGTCTAGGAGTCTTTTGGAGGGATCCTTAGGATTTTCTAGGTATAAGATCATGTCATCTGTGAACAGAGATAATCTGACCTCCCCTTTTTCAATTGGATGCCTTTATTTATTCTTGCCTGGTTGTTCTGGCTAGGACTTCCAGTACTATGTTGAATAGGAGTGATGAGACTGGGCATCCCTCCTTGTCTTATTCCAGTTTTTAGGGGGACTGCTTTCAGCTTTTCTCCATTTAGTATGATGCTGGCTGCAGGGTTGCCACTTTGATCCCGCACTGGTTTCCCTGGAAAATTTTGGGCATCAACGCTTGGAAAAAAACTTCTTCAATATCTATTGGATAAAAATAGTTACATGTTTCTTAAATTTGTATTTGTGCCATCTATTTTTCAATTTTTTCCTGGTGACTGGTCGCATGTGTTTTTCTCTCTTTTAATTTTCCATTTAAGAAATTGTCATTTTAAAAGTTAATCGATATTAAAGGTTGTCTCTGTGTACAAAGCTCCTAGCTTTTTATTTAACTTTTAAATTTAAAAATTATAAATTTCTAAGTTTTATGTACTCAAATACTCTTTACATATATTTAAGAAAACACAGAGAGAGAGAGAGAAAGAGAAAGTCAAATAATGTCTTTGTTCTTGAGAACATCTCTAATATCTTACCATTAGGGAATTTGATTTCACTGCTTTATTTTGCAGGTTTTATTTATCTTTGGGTAGTTTCTAAGATAAACTAAAGAGCAGAGAGTCAAATCACCATTTAAGAAAACTAGAGATTTTACTAAATATTAAGTTTTATTAATAATTTTAAGAATACAGGTAATCACAAGGCACAAGAAATGCAGGAAGAATCAATACTGTGTTCTCAGATCCTTCTTTTTGCCACATCACTATACACTGGTACAGAATAACATGTGAGATCTGTAAGCTGTGTCTGCTTACTAAGGAGAGAGAGAGTTTGCCTTAGTCCATTTGGGCTGTTATAAAATATGCCATAGATTGGTTAGCCTGCAAACAACAAAAATTTAATTTCTCACAATTCTGGAAACTGGGAAGTCCAAGATCAAGGTACTAGTATATTGGATGTCTGGTGAAAGCCAGCTTTCTGTTTATAGATGGTGCTTTCTCACTGTGTCCTCATATGGTGGAACGTTTAAATAAGCTTCTCTGGGCCTATTTTATAAGGGCACTAATACCATTTGTGAGGGTTCTGCCCTCAAGACTTAATAACCTCTCCAAAGGTCTTATCTCCTAATACCATTACATTGGTTGTGGTTGGGGGTGGGATGGAGGGGATGGGGAAGAGAATTTCAACATGTAAATATGGGGGAACACAACCATTCAGATCATAGCAGAGTTGTTTTGATTTTTAAATATTTCCATTTTATAATCTGATAGTTACATAGCTTTTGTGACATTTTCCTAGGAGCCAAATGGCATAGATCCATTGATACAAGTTTTGTTTACCAGATACAAACTTAAAAAGACCAAGCACATTTTGCTAAAGTAGTCCAGATATTAGGACTCTCCTTGTAGAATATACCATCAGCGTCTTTTTTTTTTTTCTGACGGTGTCTCGCTTTGTCGCCCAGGCTGGAGTGCAGTGGCGCGATCTCGGCTCACCGCAAGCTCCACCTCCTGGGTTCACGCCATTCTCCTGCCTCAGCCTCCCAAGTTACTGGGACTACAGGCACCTGCCACCACGCCCGGCTAATTCTTTGTATTTTTAGTAGAAACAGGGTTTTACCGTGTTAGCCAGGATAGTCTCCATCTCCTGACCTCGTGAACCACCTGCCTTGGCCTCCCAAAGTGTTAGGATTACAGGCGTGAGCCACCGCGCCTGGCCCCATCAGTGTCTTTTAAAGGAGCCCTATCATTAGCAAGTTTTCAAGAAATGTTGACTGTGTTGACTGTTCTTTTTCTCCAGCCACGTAAGTGCATTGGGGAATTAATCCTTGAGATCATTTGGGTGTGGTGGCTCATGCCTGTAATCCCAGCACTTTGGGAGGCTGAGGCAGGCGGATCATGAAGTCAGGAGTTCAAGAGCAAGCCTAGCCAAGATGGTGAAACCCCGTCTCTACTAAAAATACAAAAATTAGCCAGGCGTGGTGGCGGGCACCTGTAATCCCAGCTACTCGGGAGGCTGAAGCAGAGAATTGCTTGAATCCAAGAGGTGGAGTTTGCTGTGAGCCGAGATTGTGCCATTGCACTCCAGCCTGGGCAACAGAGAGAGACTCTGTCTCAAATAAATAAATAAATAAATAAATCCTTGAGATGACCATAGCCCTGTCCAACACCTTGATGGATACTTTTTGAGAAACTCAGCCAAAGGAACCATAGCCAAGTTGTGCCCAGATTCTGATCTACAGAAAAGATGGGATAATAAATGTCTGTTGAACAAAGTGACTAAGTTTTGAGGTAAGTTTTTTACAAAGCAATAGGTAACTGATACATATTTTGGTACCTGGAAGTAAGATTGTTGCCATACAAATAAGGGCGTGGCTAAAAATGTGGGAGTGGCTTTCTATCCAGGCAAAAGAAAGAGGTTGAAGTTATTTTGAGTAGCTCGTTAGAGAAAGCCTAAATTGCCTTGAACAGACTGTTAGAAGAAATCTGGACTTTAAATATGCTGTCAGGGAGAGCTCAAAAACAAGTTCCCAAGATGTTATTGGAAATTAGAGGACAGGGGAATCTTTGGTATGCAGTGGCAGAAAGTTTACCAAGATGATCCCCTGCAGGAATGTGAAATGTAGAAAGTGTGTCTAACGAACTGTATGATGTAGCTAAGAAGATTTCTGAGCAACATGTTGAAGGTGCTGCCTGATTTCTTCTTTCTGTCTATTGTAAGGGTAGCATGACATTGAGAGAAGGACTGTTTAAAATAAGGAGCCAAAACTTGATGGTTTGGGAAATTTTCGAGCTCTTTAATTTGCAAATGATGCTAAAATTAGGATGTATCTTCTGATTAATTTCAGGGTGTTACTAAAAAAGCATGACCTAGAGATGAATCTGAGAGTGTGACTGTAACATCTTTGGGCAAGTTGTCAGAAAGTTCAATGGCAGTTCCTCAGAGGAGTATTCGGTCACACAAAATACATTATAAAGAGAAGCTTAAGGACTTTTATTTAAGACATTTGTGAGCCTGGTTTTTGTCTAATGGAATAAACCCCGATAAGATTCACAGGAGGCCCGCAAGGTGACAGTACACAGTGAAAAGAGATTGGTGGACTCCCTTATGCCCCCACAATTATACTGTCAGTAAGCAACATGAGAGAATTACTCAGCTGAGAACAAGTGTTACTCTTCACGAAAAATAAATGACTCAGGTGGCAGATCTAAAAGTCCAGATAGAGATGCAGAGAGCCAATGAAGATTATGAGACCTAAGGAAGGAACTTGCAACATGTGCCAATCGGTATGGACCAGTGATTCATGTTTTGTTCCCATTTTTCTTCTAATTCCTTCCCCGCTTTGGGACAGGAATAGGGAGACAGTGATAGGAATGGAATTGGTAGTATAAGAATCCACAAACTACAACATATATAACAATATGCTGAGTAAAGGAAACTAGACACAAAAGGCTGTATGCTATATCATTCTATTTACATAGAATTTAAACACTAGCAAGAGAAACTTACTGTTGTTTGATTTCAGGATAATAGTTATCCTTGGGAGTGGAAGGGATAATAATTGCACTGTATTGTATGAGGACGGCTTCTGCTTTTTCATGTCTATGCTGCGTACATGAGTACGTTCATTTTATGAAACTGTAAACTAATAGAAATTTTCACTTTGTCAACTGTAGGCTAACACTTCATGCACTTTTGTAAATCTAGGTTATAGTTCAGTAAGTTTATGTAAGAAAAATAAAGATTTTAATTATAATACATAATAAATAACAATACAGACAAAAAAGGTAAGAATTTCCTTAGGAAATATTTTAAAGGTTAGGTTTAACATAAGCTAGGAGAAAGAACAGGTTTCATTTTAAAATTATTTCTAGAAGTAATTATCTCATAGATGAAATAAAATATTATATAACTTATGCATACACGGTATTGCTAAGATTTAAAACAAAATGCTCATAGATTGTGTTATTTAAGACATTTTTTGGTTGCAATTTCCTTAAGCTAAAAAGAGACTTTATTGTTGCAACAGTTGGTTAGTAATAATCTTTGGATTAGCTCCCCGAATCAAGAAGAATGCTGAAAGAATCAGAATCTCTCTTCTCTCCTTTTTTTTTTCCCATCTCTCATTTATTCTTGTTTTACTTTGGCTTTATTTTTGCAAATTGCCACTGTGGTTGAATGTTTGTGTCCTGACTCTCCCTCCCCTAAGAAATTCCTATGTTGATATCTTTACCCCTAAGGTGATAGTATAGGAGATGGGGCCCTTGGGAGGTAAATAGATCATGAGGGTGGAGCTCTCATTAATGGGATTAGCGCCCTTATACCTGCAAGAGATTGCTCATTCCTTTTATAATGTGAAAACACAGCAAGAAGGAGCTTTTTGAGGAAGTGGGGCCTCACGAGATATTGAATATGTTGGTGCCATATTTTGAACTTCCCAGCCTCCAGAAATGTAAGCAATACATTTCTTCTTCTTCTTTTTTAAGTCACACAGTTTATAATATTTTATTCCAGCAGCCCAAACTAAGACACAGATTTATTTCCTGTAGTGGAAGAGACAGCTTCTCACAATTCAGGTTTCATCCTATTAATATGCAATATCTTTCTCTGTGCCTTGATTTCTTCATCTATAAAATGAGGATTAAGTACTTAGCTTATAAGGTTTTTGTGAAAATTGAATGGGTTATTCAAGAGATTGGAAAGGTGCCTGGCACATAGTAAAACTTGGTTTGTCTATCCAGCCTGGACTCCTCCCTTGAATCTAGTCTCATATATCTAATTGCCTGTTGGAGATCTTTATTTAGATGCCTAAAGGGTGTATTACATTTAACATTTCCAAAACTGAGGTCCTGGTATTCTCTCCACACCTGCTTTTCTCACATTTTTCCAATATCAATATACTCTGTTTTTCTAGTTACTGGGGCCAAACATCATCCTAGACTATTGTCTTTCTCCCAAATCCCACATCATATTTATTTATCAAATCATGTCAATTTGACTGGTGCTGTTGGATAGAACTTTCTATATTGATGGAAAAGATCTATATTTGTGCTGTCCAATATGGTAGCATGACTTGATGTGGCTATTGACCCTTCAAAATGTGGCTAATGTAAATGAGCAACTAAATTTTTTATTTAATGTTTAGTAACTTAAAGTTAATGCAATTGATAAAACCCACAGTTCCCTAACTGTTTACTGAGACACCCTGGGGTGCCACAGTGAACTCACACAAGTGCCAAGGTATATTTTAAATTTTCAAAGAAACACAGAAACATTAAACATCTCTTGGACATTATCTAAACTACTAGCTCAAGATAGTTTAAAGTTCTAAAATTAGATTATGACACAGTCCTCTCAATGATCTTATATCTTTTTGAGCTTAGAATTTCCATTATTATCTCCAACAAAAGCCAAATATTGTTAGAAAATCAGCATGAAATAGGAAATAAGGTTGACATTGTCTAATTAGATTTCAAAGATTAAGAAGTTGTGCAGTACCTGACTGATACATATAACCCATTATCAAGTGTTGATTAAAAGTAAAATAGAAATATTAATTTTTCTTTTCATTGATGTATAGCATTTTTTTCAAATGTCTACTAGGTTGTTGGGGTATTAATGATTATTAAGTTGTGTAGCCCTAACCACTTGATAAATGAAATGGTTAGAGATTTTTGTCCTGGGGACATTGAAAATGTTACTTAGATATTATACAAGAGTGCTATAAACTGAGAAAATATAGGACTCTGTGGAGTTAGATTATTTGTTGTCTATTTTGGTTTTTATTATTTACTGAAATTCTGCTTTTAATTTTTATAACTCTAGGAAACATTGTAGGAAAATGGTGTAATGAAGTTCTTAATGCTATAAAAATTATTTATAAAAGTGAATATGTGGTTCTGGTCTGAGCCACTTTTTATGTGTTTACCACCAATAGAACTTGAAAACAATATTAAATTTGGATTAGTAACAAATGATGATCAAAAAATTTTTTAAAAATATAGTGAGGTTTTGGTTTCAGGAGAACTTCAAAACACAGTTTTAAAACCCTTTGGATGTGACAAAACCCAACTGAATACTGCCAAGGAACCCTTTCCTAATTTTTTCAGCTCTTGTGTATTTGTGAAGGAATTTAATCCTTATGTTACTGATTCATTTACACTTAACTCATCAAAATGTTTGGTAAATGCTAAAACATTTGATATCCGAAGAGCTTTATGAGATTTTACATCTGGGAATTCTAAAGTTTTATAAGTAATTTTTTAACTTTTTTAGAAAGCGTATGGAAATAGAGCCTTAAATTTACTTTACTTTGGTATAGTTTAGAAGCAAAGGGGTAGTAGACTAATGAAATGATTTTGACTGCCCCTCTTGAAACAGCTCTTGTAAGCTGTTTCAGCATGGTAGATTTGAGTTGTCCTTAATGAAATATTATTTCAATAACTGAAAAGCTGAGTAATAGTAAAATATGTGCTTTGTTTTACTGGAAATAATCTCATTCTGAAAATGAAAAATTATATTTTAATCATTTTGCTATCTCTCTTTAATATACTAAGCCATATTGGCTAATTATCTTATTTTTCATTGGCAAAACTGTCAAAACCAACATAATAGCCTCAGTCACAGTATTTTGAGTGTAATAAATGCTGTCTTTACCCTTGAGAATGTGTCCTGCAGCAACCAACAGTTAACATGTTAAAAAACAAAAGCTTTAAAAAATGCGTTACATCACGGCTACAAAAGGCAAATGTTTTCTAATCACACTGTGTTGTTTTGCCTAACTTTTAAATGGCCTCAACATAAGGCATTTATGAAATGAAATTAAACTCTAAGAAAATACTAAATGTGAGTAATCTTATTTATATTTAACATTTAGCTCACTAAAACACAATGTGTGGTTCTCTTGGATACACGAAGATGATGTGATTATCATTAGGACACTTACTAGTTTAAATCATATGAAGTTGCCATTATTAAGAAGGACTGTGTTCGGTTATAGGCAATTTCTATGACTGAACTGTATCTGGTTATGAACACGTCAATATAGAAAGTACTGTTTCCAGAGGAGACACCTTTTCAGGAAAACCTCGTTTTCTTGTTTTAAAAAAAGCTGTTTATATCACTATCATATTTTTCTACTATAAACCTTTTCTGAATCTGGAAATAAACTTCAAATCTTAGTTGTTTGAGTCCAACAGTCAGGAGAGCCAGGTCCTGAGATTATAACCCTGAATCTCAGTGGATTACACATAATAAATTTAAGTTTCACTCATGCTGCTTGTCTGCTCTACATCTGTTGTCTTCATTGCAGGACTCAAGCTGATGAGACACTGATAGTCATGGAGACAGAGAGAAAAGGGAACACAGTGAAGAACAAGCTGGCTCTTAAAACTTTTGTTGACAGTTTTAAGACAGTTGACTTGTGCTCGCATTTCACTGGCCAGAACAAATTGTAGCAAACCACATCTACAAACGTGAAGAAACGCAATTCTGCCAGGTGCTCCAAAATTTAGAGAACAGAATATTGGTAAACAACTCTAATGACTACAGTACTAGCACTTGAAGATAGAGCTCTTAGATTATGTAAGATCCACCATAGAACCCAAACCTTCAGTAGCTTGGAGTTACTCCAAATTCAACTAACGAAGGATCTGTAACTATTAACACGAGTACTGGAGATATAAAAATTCATTATGCATAAAATATTGCAAAGGCAGTAAAAAAATACTATGTAGTATGGAGAAAGAAAATTTGTACCACTGTCTTATTGGGATGAACTATCTTTTAGGTGTCAACCTAAATAACAGAGAGAGGCTCCCTAAAAGAAAATGATATTTATTCAAAGAATAAGGTATTGCAATGGAGATATGTATTTCATAGTAAACTATATGCATGTTCAGGGAGGTAAAGCAAGATAAAAGTTTTTAAAGGAAAAAATGAGGAGGGTAACATAACTGTTTTGAGATGATTATTCTTGGCTGTAAGGACCAATAACAAGGCTGGCACCAATTCATGTTTGAACAAACAATTGTTGGGCAGATGTTTTGCCAAAGTATATTTTGTGTTTGGTTGTGATGGCCTTTGTGCAACGTTGTTGATACGGTTTGGCTGTGTCCTCACCTAAATCTCACCTTGAATTGTAATAATCCTCACGTGTGAAGGGCGGGGCCTGGTGGAGATAATTGAATAATGGGGGCAATTTCCCCCGTACTGTTCTCCTGGTAGTGAGTAAGTCCCAGGAGATCTGATGGTTTTATAAATGGGAGTTCACCTTCACAAGTTGTTTTGCCTGATGCCATGTGAGATGCAACTTTGCTCCTCATTCACCTTCTGCCATGATTGTGAGGCTTCCCCAGCCATGTGGAACTGTGAGTCAATTAAACATTTTTCCTTTGTAAATTATATTACCCAGTCTTTGGTTTGTCTTTATTAGCAGCGTGAGAACAGACTAATACAGTTGTGGTTTTTGAAGAATTTTCTGTGATAGTTTTTGTTATCAATCATGCATGAGAATCCTTTCTTCATGGCCTTTCACGGATCTATTTGCCAGGATATTTTAAACACAAGTGACTCAATTTTTATTCTGGTAACTTTCACATAGGCTTAGATTTTGTTAACATATTGTGCAGTAGGAGTGGACCTTATAAACCAGTGGACATAATCTGAACCCAAGTCAGATTTGACTGCGTCATGGAGCCAAATTGATTATTGACTATGGTTTGACATCAAGTTTACCTCCTCGAACAGTCAATTGGATGATATTGATTCAGTCAAGACTGGGGGAAAAATAATCAAGCCCATTGTTTAGCTTTTGGGAACTTGTATGTTTATATGGACACACTCACACATATTTTCTTATTTTTTTTTCCTTATCTTTTAATTCTAGTACATAATATCAGCATACTACATAGCCAGGGATAATGGAAACCACCACAGAGTTTGTCATTTTATTTTGTAAGGAAGTAGATTATACACACGAGTGATTAAGTAACTCTCATGTTAGTAAGAATAAATTCCTTAAAGAAATAAATTTTTAAATGAGGCAAAATTTTCAAGAAAAAACAATTTTTTGTAATAAAAAGAAAAGTAAACCAGCACATATAGGACTGTTCTTAAGAAGTAGAGATTCAAAAAAATATATTTAATGGTAGAACATTCAACTTCTTTAAGTTAAACAACTCAAATAATTTTGAAGTAACCATTAATGTCACATTTAAGACTCAAATGAGCATCAATATTGTAATAATCTAGTGCTTTAAATAATTTATTTTCAAATTTTTAAAGATTTTTTTCATTCAGAATATTAGGGCAGAAACAGTGGCAGTATCATTAACTGCTCCCAGTTATCAAAGGAGTTATCAAAAGATAAAAAGACTAAATCTATGCTAAACCCAAGATATTATAGGAAATATTCTCTAACATATTGCTTATCTTTGCTTGATTTAAAAGACATCTGATATTGCTATAGGCTGGAAAGCTAACCCATTAGAAAGGAATGTGAAACTTTTGCTTAGAGACCACCTCGCTGCCATGAACAGATTACAAAATTAGTCCGGCAAGCAACAGAGAAAACTCAAGTTCAGGCTGGGCGCGGTGGCCCACGCCTGTAATCCCAGCACTTCGGGAGGCCGAGGCGGACGGATCACGAGGTCAGGAGATCGAGACCATCCTGGCTAACATGGTGAAACCCCGTCTCTACTAAAAATACAAAAAATTAGCCAGGCGTAGTGGCGGGCGCCTGTAGTCCCAGCTACTCCGGAGGCTGAGTCAGGAGAATGGCGTGAACCCGGGAGGCGGAGCTTG
Source organism: Homo sapiens (assembly GCF_000001405.40). Classification (NCBI taxonomy): domain Eukaryota; kingdom Metazoa; phylum Chordata; class Mammalia; order Primates; family Hominidae; genus Homo; species Homo sapiens. The sequence goes on from NC_000004.12 coordinate 156,283,382, forward strand.
CAGTGAGCCAAGATTGCGCCACTGCACTCCAACCTGGGCGACAGAGCCAGACTCCATCTCAAAAAAAAAAAAAAAAAAAAAAGAAAACTCAGCTTCAGTGAACCTCCATGTGAAATGGTCTAGCTAGCTTTATTCACTTAGCTCTGACCATATTCATTTTTTTCTGGGGTGTTATTTTTATTTCAAATGTAACTACTCTATTTTCAAGAAAGATGAAACATTATGATGGCACCACACAACAAAGGAGCAATTCAATTACTAGGTATTCAATATAAAATAGTATAGTAAATATATTCTTAAAGTAAATGTAATGTTAAATGCATATTACAAGATAACCAATGGGATTTTTATGGAAGCACATCTTTCTTTAATTAACCATAATGTATTAATGGCTGGTACTTGGACACTTTTTCCTTCATAGTTTAACTTTTTACCAAATAAGTTTTGACAGTTTTTAAACAAACTGTTATTTTCCATGATCGAGTCTCTGCCTACTTGTTGGGCCCAGAAATATTTTTATATTTTCTCCATTTCCTTTCAACTTTTTCCTTGGCACCTACCATTGTATCATTCTGTTCTCCAGATGGTAGGTCCTTGCCTGTGAGCCATGGCTCAAATATTCCAATATTAACTTTTCTAGATCCTTCTCATAATGTATATCCTTATCCACAATGCTTTACTGAGCCCAACCTAGGCACTGTGGCTTCCATGGCACACTTGTCTGGAGATACTATTTCACTTCAAAGGCCCAAATCAATCCCTTTCTCATTTGCTGCCTGCAAGGTCCGATTTTCACACTTCCACTGAGCAGGAAGTCAAACCAATGATTTTACCATCTTATTATTGTATTTATTATTTTCACATTGACATTCCCTTCAAATGACTTTAAGGTGCCTAAAATGCCAACAGGATCTCAACCAACTTTTCTGTATTTACTTGTGTGGTGTAATTCATCTATTATTCAGAAAATGCTCCCCTACCCTCACTCAGTTTATTTTTTTCATATTCTATAATTTGCGCTGTTTTAAACATTTCTTAACTAAATCATTAAAAGTTGAATTTAGTAAGATAGTTGAAAAGAAATGATCTAATTTTAAAAATTATTTTCTGTAAGGTTTTTTCAAGTAGACAAAGACTTAATACTTACATAGGTTCATCATTTCTTTCTTTTTTTTTTTTTTTTACTTTTTTTTTAATTATGCTTTATGTTTTAGGGTACATGTGCACATTGTGCACGTTAGTTACATATGTATACATGTGCCATGCTGGTGCGCTGCACCCACTAACTCGTCATCTAGCATTAGGTGTATCTCCCAATGCTATCCCTCCCCCCTCCCCCCACCCCACCACAGTCCCCAGAGTGTGATATTCCCCTTCCTGTGTCCATGTGATCTCATTGTTCAATTCCCACCTATGAGTGAGAATATGCGGTGGTTGGTTTTTTGTTCCTGCGATAGTTTACTGAGAATGATGATTTCCAATTTCATCCATGTCCCTACAAAGGACATGAACTCATCATTTTTTATGGCTGCATAGTATTCCATGGTGTATATGTGCCACATTTTCTTAATCCAGTCTATCATTGTTGGACATTTGGGTTGGTTCCAAGTCTTTGCTATTGTGAATAGTGCCGCAATAAACATACGTGTGCATGTGTCTTTATAGCAGCATGATTTATAGTCCTTTGGGTATATACCCAGTAACGGGATGGCTGGGTCAAATGGTATTTCTAGTTCTAGATCCCTGAGGAATCGCCACACTGACTTCCACAATGGTTGAACTAGTTTACAGTCCCACCAACAGTGTAAAAGTGTTCCTATTTCTCCACATCCTCTCCAGCACCTGTTGTTTCCTGACTTTTTAATGATTGCCATTCTAACTGGTGTGAGATGGTATCTCATTGTGGTTTTGATTTGCATTTCTCTGATGGCCAGTGATGATGAGCATTTTTTCATGTGTTTTTTGGCTGCATAAATGTCTTTTTTGAGAAGTGTCTGTTCATGTCCTTCGCCCACTTTTTGATGGGGTTGTTTGTTTTTTTCTTGTAAATTTGTTTGAGTTCATTGTAGATTCTGCATATTAGCCCTTTGTCAGATGAGTAGGTTGCGAAAATTTTCTCCCATTTTGTAGGTGGCTTGTTCACTCTGATGGTAGTTTCTTTTGCTACGCAGAAGCTCTTTAGTTTAATTAGAACCCATTTGTCAATTTTGGCTTTTGTTGCCATTGCTTTTGGTGTTTTATACATAAAGTCCTTGCCCATGCCTATGTCCTGAATGGTAATGCCTAGGTTTTCTTCTAGGGTTTTTATGGTTTTAGGTCTAACGTTTAAGTCTTTAATCCATCTTGAATTGATTTTTGTATAAGGTGTAAGGAAGGGATCCAGTTTCATCTTTCTACATATGGCTAGCCAGTTTTCCCAGCACCATTTATTAAATAGGGAATCCTTTCCCCATTTCTTGTTTTTCTCAGGTTTGTCAAAGATCAGATAGTTGTAGATATGCGGTGTTATTTCTGAGGGCTCTGTTCTGTTCCATTGATCTATATCTCTGTTTTGGTACCAGTACCATGCTGTTTTGGTACCAGTACCATGCTGTTTTGGTTACTGTAGCCTTGTAGTATAGTTTGAAGTCAGGTAGCATGATGCCTCCAGCTTTGTTCTTTTGGCTTAGGACTGCCATGGCGATGCAGGCTCTTTTTTGGTTCCATATGAACTTTAAAGTAGTTTTTTCCAATTCTGTGAAGAAAGTCATTGGTAGCTTGATGGGGATGGCATTGAATCTGTAAATTACCTTGGGCAGTATGGCCATTTTCACGATATTGATTCTTCCTACCCATGAGCATGGAATGTTCTTCCATTTGTTTGTATCCTCTTTTATTTCCTTGAGCAGTGGCTTGTAGTTCTCCTTGAAGAGGTCCTTCACATCCCTTGTAAGTTGGATTCCTAGGTATTTTATTCTCTTTGAAGCAACTGTGAATGGGAGTTCACTCATGATTTGGCTCTCTCTTTGTCTGTTGTTGGTGTATAAGAATGCTTGTGATTTTTGTACATTGATTTTGTATCCTGAGACTTTGCTGAAGTTGCTTATCAGCTTAAGGAGATTTTGGGCTGAGACAATGGGGTTTTCTAGATATACAATCATGTCGTCTGCAAACAGGGACAATTTGACTTCCTCTTATCCTAATTGAATACCCTTTATTTCCTTCTCCTGCCTAATTGCCCTGGCCAGGACTTCCAACACTATGTTGAATAGGAGTGGTGAGAGAGGGCATCCCTGTCTTGTGCCAGTTTTCAAAGGGAATGCTTCCAGTTTTTGCCCATTCAGTATGATATTGGCTGTGGGTTTGTCATAGATAGCTCTTATTATTTTGAAATACGTCCCATCAATACCTAATTTATTGAGAGTTTTTAGCATGAAGCGTTGTTGAATTTTGTCAAAGGCTTTTTCTGCATCTATTGAGATAATCATGTGGTTTTTGTCTTTGGCTCTGTTTATATGCTGGATTACATTTATTGATTTGCGTATATTGAACCAGCCTTGCATCCCAGGGATGAAGGCCACTTGATCATGGTAGATAAGCTTTTTGATGTGCTGCTGGATTCATTTTGCCAGTATTTTATTGAGGATTTTTGCATCAATGTTCATCAAGGATATTGGTCTAAAATTCTCTTTTTTGGTTGTGTCTCTGCCCGGCTTTGGTATCAGAATGATGCTGGCCTCATAAAATGAGTTAGGGAGGATTCCCTCTTTTTCTATTGATTGGAATAGTTTCAGAAGGAATGGTACCAGTTCCTCCTTGTACCTCTGGTAGAATTCGGCTGTGAATCCATCTAGTCCTGGACTCTTTTTGGTTGGTAAGCTATTGATTATTGCCTCAATTTCAGAGCCTGTTATTGGTCTATTCAGAGATTCAACTTCTTCCTGGTTTAGTCTTGGGAGAGTGTATGTGTCGAGGAATTTATCCATTTCTTCTAGATTTTCTAGTTTATTTGCATAGAGGTGTTTATAGTATTCTCTGATGGTAGTTTGTATTTCTGTGGGATCGGTGGTGATATCCCCTTTATCATTTTTTATTGTGTCTATTTGATTCTTCTCTCTTTTTTTCTTTATTAGTCTTGCTAGTGGTCTATCAATTTTGTTGATCCTTTCAAAAAACCAGCTCCTGGATTCATTAATTTTTTGAAGGGATCTTGTGTCTCTATTTCCTTCAGTTCTGCTCTGATTTTAGTTATTTCTTGCCTTCTGCTAGCTTTTGAATGTGTTTGCTCTTGCTTTTCTAGTTCTTTTAATTGTGATGTTAGGGTGTCAATTTTGGATCTTTCCTGCTTTCTCTTGTGGGCATTTATTGCTATAAATTTCCCTCTACACACTGCTTTGAATGCATCCCAGAGATTCTGGTATGTTGTGTCTTTGTTCTCGTTGGTTTCAAAGAACATCTTTATTTCTGCCTTCATTTCGTTATGTATCCAGTAGTCATTCAGGAGCAGGTTGTTCAGTTTCCATGTAGTTGAGTGGTTTTGAGCGAGATTCTTAATCCTGAGTTCTAGTTTGATTGCACTGTGGTCTGAGAGATAGTTTGTTTTAATCTCTGTTCTTTTACATTTGCTGAGGAGTGCTTTACTTCCAAGTATGTGGTCATTTTTGGAATAGGTGTGGTGTGGTGCTGAAAAAAATGTGTATTCTGTTGATTTGGGGTGGAGAGTTCTGTAGATGTCTATTAGGTCCGCTTGGTGCAGAGCTGAGTTCAATTCCTGGGTATCCTTGTTGACTTTCTGTCTCGTTGATCTATCTAATGTTGACAGTGGGGTGTTAAAGTCTCCCATTATTAATGTGTGGGAGTCTAAGTCTCTTTGTAGGTCACTCAGGACTTGCTTTACGAATCTGGGTGCTCCTGTATTGGGTGCATATATATTTAGGATAGTTAGCTCTTCTTGTTGAATGGATCCCTTTACCATTATGTAATGGCCTTCTTTGTCTCTTTTGATCTTTGTTGGTTTAAAGTCTGTTTTATCAGAGACTAGGATTGCAACCCCTGCCTTTTTTTGTTTTCCATTTGCTTGGTAGATCTTCCTCCATCCTTTTATTTTCAGCCTATGTGTGTCTCTGCACGTGAGATGGGTTTCCTGAATACAGCACACTGATGGGTCTTGACTCTTTATCCAATTTGCCAGTCTGTGTCTTTTAATTGGAGCGTTTAGTCCATTTACATTTAAAGTTAATATTGTTATGCGTGAATTTGATCCTGTCATTATGATGTTAGCTGGTGATTTTGCTCGTTAGTTGATGCAGTTTCTTCCTAGTCTCGATGGTCTTTACATTTTGGCATGATTTTGCAGCGGCTGGTACTAGTTGTTCCTTTCCATGTTTAGCACTTCCTTCAGGAGCTCTTTTAGGGCAGGCCTGGTGGTGACAAAATCTCTCAGCATTTGCTTGTCTGTAAAGTATTTTATTTCTCCTTCACTTATGAAGCTTATTTTGGCTGGATATGAAACTCTGGGTTGAAAATTCTTTTCTTTAAGAATGTTGAATATTGGCCCCCACTCTCTTCTGGCTTGTAGGGTTTCTGCCGAGAGATCCGCTGTTAGTCTTATGGGCTTCCCTTTGAGGGTAACCCGACCTTTCTCTCTGGCTGCCCTTAACATTTTTTCCTTCATTTCAACTTTGGTGAATCTGACAATGATGTGTCTTGGAGTTGCTCTTCTCGAGGAGTATCTTTGTGGCATTCTCTGTATTTCCTGAATCTGAACGTTGGCCTGACTTACTAGATTGGGGAAGTTCTTCTGGATAATATCCTGCAGAGTGTTTTCCAACTTAGTTCCATTCTCTCCATCACTTTCAGGTACACCAATCAGACATAGATTTGGTCTTTTCACATAGTCCCATATTTCTTGGAGGCTTTGCTCATTTCTTTTTATTCTTTTTTCTCCAAACTTCCCTTCTTGCTTCATTTCATTCATTTCATCTTCTATTGCTGATACCCTTTCTTCCAGTTGATTGCATCGGCTCCTGAGGCTTCTGCATTCTTCACGTAGTTCTCGAGCCTTGGTTTTCAGCTCCATCAGCTCCTTTAAGCACTTCTCTGTATTGGTTATTCTAGTTATACATTCTTCTAAATTTTTTTCAAAGTTTTCAACTTCTTTGCCTTTGGTTTGAATGTCTTCCCGTAGCTCAGAGTAATTTGATTGTCTGAAGCCTTCTTCTCTCAGCTCGTCAAAGTCATTCTCCATCCAGCTTTGTTCCGTTGCTGGTGAGGAACTGCGTTCCTTTGGAGGAGGAGAGACGCTCTGCGTTTTAGAGTTTCCAGTTCTTCTGTTCTGTTTTTTCCCCATCTTTGTGGTTTTATCTACTTTTGGTCTTTGATGATGGTGATGTACAGATGGGTTTTTGGTGTGGATGTCCTTTCTGTTTGTTAGTTTTCCTTCTAACAGACAGGACCCTCAGCTGCAGGTCTGTTGGAGTACCCTGCTGTGTGAGGTGTCAGTGTGCCCCTGCTGGGGGGTGCCTCCCAGTTACACTGCTCGGGGGTCAGGGGTCAGGGACCCACTTGAGGAGGCAGTCTGCCCATTCTCAGATCTCCAGCTGCCTGCTGGGAGAACCACTGCTCTCTTCAAAGCTGTCAGACAGGGACATTTAAGTCTGCAGAGGTTACTGCTGTCTTTTTGTTTGTCTGTGCCCTGCCCCCAGAGGTGGAGCCTACAGAGGCAGGCAGGCCTCCTTGAGCTGTGGTGGGCTCCACCCAGTTCGAGCTTCCAGGCTGCTTTTTTTACCTAAGCAAGCCTGGGCAATGGCCGGCGCCCCTCCCCCAGCCTCGCTGCCGCCTTGCAGTTTGATCTCAGACTGCTGTGCTAGGAATCAGCGAGACTCCGTGGGCGTAGAACCCTCCGAGCCAGGTGCGGGATATAATCTCGTGATGCGCCGTTTTTTAAGCCAGTCCGAAAAGCGCAATATTCGGGTGGGAGTGACCTGATTTTCCAGGTGCGTCCGTCACCCCTTTCTTTGACTCGGAAAGGGAACTCCCTGACCCTTGCACTTCCCAAGTGAGGCAGTGCCTCGCCCTGCTTCGGCTCGCGCACGGTGCGTGCACCCACTGACCTGCGCCCACTCTCTGGCACTCCCTAGTGAGATGAACCCGGTACCTCAGATGGAAATGCAGAAATCACCCGTCTTCTGCGTCACTCACGCTGGGAGCTGTATACCGGAGCTGTTCCTATTCGGCCATTGTCCAAGTTAGGTCAGCTTTCTTCCTGCTCTAGTCCCAACTCTCCATCATTTATTTCTTACCACAGTATATTTTAACACTAAGAAAAAATTGTTAACTTTATTAGGAAAGATGAAAAAATTTAGATTTTATGCACTTGCTTTGGTTTTAACCTTTCATTATACAACATGTCTCCTCTTTATCATAGCGCTTTTGCTTTAAGAAAAAGTTTGTGGCATAATTTAATGCTGTCTACTAATTTCTTATGCTCAATTGCTTAATAGGAGTAGCCTTATGGAACCCTCTCCACATAAATTCATTGGTTCATTTCTCTTGTACTTGTAACTGAGAATACCTAAGGATCTTCTGTACTTTTGTTAACAACCTCCCATCCTCAAATCTCTGACCACAACTATGGGCAGTGGCTCTTTACAACAGAAATAAGTTATTATTTTTATTAGGTTAAGCTGGAAGAAGCCTGCGACTTATAGTGGGAAAAACTCCTTTACTCGTACTCTAGGAATGAATTTTAATGGAGCCAAGACAAGCATTGTGTTCCTAAAAGAAGATTCATTTAATGGTGAAACCAAGTTAAAGGAATACATATTTATAAAATGTTATGTTTCAGACTTTTGAATGTGTACAAATATATTTTGCCTTTTTTTCCCCTAATTCTACAACATGGCTATTCTTTGGCTTAATTAAATATCTTAAACAAATGTGTGCTTGGTTTAAACAATAAGTCACAAAGCTATTTGCCAGCATTATTTTCAAATTGCATGTAGAATCTCTCCATCTTTATGTTAAAACTCATTCCAATGCACAGGCAGGACAAGATTGATGTAATTATTTAAACAGAAACAAAGAGGGTTCTGTTCATAGTTGCAAATCATATTGGTGCAAATCCACTGCCCTGGCACTGAGTGATGAGTGCTGTGGAGATAAGAGGTTGTAAGCACCAGAAAGAGTCATTTATGGAGTAATTCCAGGGAACTATAGCAGTACTTCAGATGCACAGCATTCCTTAAAGAAAGATCATTGATAGTAAGTCACACACACGAGTAATTTATGACTAAAAGCAAATAAAATAGCTTACAGATTTTCTCTATTTCCCTTTGAGGAGGAAAATGTTCTTTTCAGTTAACAATCAGAGGAATTAGAGTAAGAACAAAAAAAGTAAGGAGAGGAGAAGAGGTCTTAGTGACAACACACAGGATAAAATTAACAGTTTAAGAATAATTCGGTAGCTAGCTGAGTGAATATCCTTAATTTGATTGAAATTTACTTAGCTGGTTTTTCCCACTAATAATCTTAATGTTCTTAACAAAATGCAGCACAAAAGTTGATAGTGTTTACAGTTAGAAGCCTTACTTAAATAGTTACCCGAATGATTTGACAAGTTTCCACATATTAATGGAACTTTAACAAATTCATGATCATTTTAGACTATACTTTCCTCAAGAGAGTAGGAAATAATACTTCTACTTGAAATGTTTTATTTTCAGAGAAATGTTGTGGGATGAAATTAGATAACATATGTGAAATTTCTGTGCTAATAATAAAGAAATTTAAGTTCTGTTAATTTCAAATAAGCCTTCTATTCATATCTGTTGATATCTTGAAATTATGACAATCTATGTCTGCCTCCCTACTTCTTAGTTGCTACCGGCTTAATTTCAAATGTCTTAATTTAAATATTCTTAGATTATCCTTACGTATATTTTGAGTGTTCTCTTTCTCCTAAAATGATATAAAAAGCATTGAAAACACTGCTTGATAATGTGGATATATCAAAGCACATAAATTTCCTCATATAATTTTTAACATATTGATTTTTAGTTATTTCCTTACATTTTATTTTATTTTTCCAGGAAACAAATTTCTAACATTTTAGAAAAAAGTCATTTGTTACTGGCACAATGTTTTTCTCTGAGTTTTGTGTTATGGTCAAGGTATCCCACTCTGTGTGAAAGCCCTAACCCCAAATATTACTATCTTTGGAGACAGGACCTTTAAGAGGTGATTAAAGTTACACAAAGTCCTAAGGGTGCAGCCCTGCTCCGCTCCAATAGAATTAATGTGCTTGTTCTTTTTTTTTTTTTTTCTTTTTGAGATGGAGTTTCACTCTTGTTGCTCAGGCTGGGGTGCAGTGACTCGATCTTGGCTCACTGCAACCTCTGCCTCCTGGGTTCAAGCGACTCTCCTGCCTCAGCCTCCCGGGTAGCTAGGATTACAGGCATGCGCCACCACACTCAGCTAATTTTGTATTTTTCGTAGAGCTGGGGTTTCTCCATGTTGGTCAGGCTGGTCTCGAACTCCCAACCTCAGGTGATCCGCCCACTTCACCCTCCCAAAGTGCTAGGATTACAGGCGTGAGCCACCATGCCTGGCCTAATGTGCTTGTTCTTATAAGAGACACTAGAGAGCTCCCTTTGTCTTTCTCCCTGCCCTGTGAAGACATAGCAAGAAGGGCCACCATCTGCAAGTCAGAGAGAGAGAGCACTCACCAGGACCTGAGACAGCTGGCACCTTGTTCTTGGACTTCCAGCCTCAGAACTGTGAGAAATAAATATCGGCCACTTAAGCCACCCAATCTCTGGTATTTTGTTATGGCAGCTCAAACAGACTGAGACACTGAGATTAAATAATATAAAGGGATGTGAAGATAAAAGCATTTGAAAGACTCAGAAATCAATATTTTTTCACTTTCTTTACCGCATTGCAATAAATTCTCTCAACTCTTGTTCTCACTGGAAGGATATGAAATATCCTCATAATGTACTTGAATAATTATAAGATAATTGTGCAGATATGTTTTGAAAATATCAGATTTCAAGGTGAGCATTAACCTTATCATGAAAAGAATTTTCTTAATTTGCAGCATTTAAACTTTATTCTAGTTATTTACATTGACAAAAAACAATATCCAAGAAATTCTGAGCCTAAATCATTACAGTTGCCACCTTGCCATTTTTGTTGACCAAGTTTATTAATGCATGGGGATTGTAAGGGTAAATTAATCTACTCCACATGAAGTGGGTCCTGATTCAAGTTGGCAAATGTTCAACAGGATTTTTCATGGAGGCATAGATAGGATAAGAGTACCAGTAACCATTCAAATATTCAAGCATTTCTTTTTCAATTAGAGCTGTATTCTATAATTATCATCAAGCACTTTTAGCACTGTGTTTGCCAAAGGAATAGAAAGAACAACATTGCTGACAAATGTCACTAGGTTTAGAGTCCATTAATGAGCTTTTCTTAGAAACTGGCTTCTTTCAACTTGATCAGCTATGTCTCTTCTGATGATTTAAACATGGCTTTTTAAAGCTTAAAATCAAAACCTGGAGGTATAGTATAAATCACTGAAATGCAAGTTCTCGTAAATTGCATATTAATGGTTTAAAAAAATGACATGATTATTCTGTCTGTACTAAAGAACCTGAGAGCCTTTTCCATTTTACTTGTAGATTCTGTTTTTTCCTTTGGCTTGTGTCCAGTTAGGCCATGACATACATGAATCATCATTCCCTATAGACAAAGAATTTGCCTAAGCTGGAAAGAGAGATAAATACAGGGATGATGTCATAGACCAGAACTATGTCTAGAAAAAGATGAAGGGGATGGTTTCATTTTGCTTTAACATAATTTGACCTAAATATTCTATCACAAATTTTATTAGACAGTAATATAACCACAACTTTAAAGATAAGAAACTGAGACTTAGAAATACCTAATTATTCCTCATTAATACTGCTTATTAATGTTGATGTTAGAGTTAAATGTTAAGTCTGTCTATCTCCAATGCCAATGTTAACTTGCTTCTTTTATATAAACTCTACATGGAAACCGACCTCCTCGCTAATAAGAGCCTAATGTTAGTAAGCATTCTGTAACCAGATAGCAGGTCCCTGGGAATGTGGCAAAATGTGTACATTAAAAAAAAAAAAACATGTTCAGTAAAATTGACAGAAAGAAAAAAACTATTTTACCGTCTCATTTTTATGGCCATTTCATTTCAAGCCTTCTAGTATTTTTGTCCCTAGCTACTTGCAGCATCATTAGACAGCTTAGATATGGGAGCAGATCTACCAGCTTGGGTATGCTGGCTTCCGGGAAAACTAACCCAGCTCTAGCTGACGCAATGCATTAAGTATGGGGAACAAAATAGTTTCAAGCAAGTTGTCAGTGAGGGTCTGAGATAAAGTAATTGGTTTTCCAGTAGATGGCAGCAAAAGGAAAACATGGAAGGCAGTGTGCCTGAATATGAGCAGCTGGGTAGAATCAAAACTAGACAGGTGGCAGATTCAAGATCAAAAGGACATGAAATTCAGGGCACCAGTCACCAGGTGAGTTGACAATTATGAGTAAAGGAGAAAACAAGACCTAATAGGAAAATGGAGTAGTAAGTGTTCACCATCATGGAAATTATGTTGACCAAATTTCAACAGCAATTGGAGATCAGATTTGAGGATATCTACAGTTACAAAAGTAATTTCAATATTTAGCAGCAGATAAAAAGCATATGTGACTTGAGTCAATACCAAAGCATAAACAGTTATAGCTGATTAAACAACTCTTTGCATAGCAGACGCCAGGTGGTAATTGAATACCAAAGTGAGGTACCATCATCACACACAAACTGTAATTACTTTCTTTCCTTAATTCTTCTGTTGTTCTAACTCCATGTCCTCCCACCAATCTAACCATTCTCCTTCACTTTGAATTCTTCTTTCACCATTCTTCTCTCTTTGCACCAGTTCCTCACCATATTCTTGTGGTCATCTTGTATTGAAATGTAATTTATCATGGTAACAGGTAATTTGGGCAGTAACTGGATAGCCCAGGAGATTCTGTAATAACTGAACATTGGTAGAAAAAAGATGGATATACTTGCCCTTCTTCGTGCTTCAAATAATGTTCTCTAATTTCATGTCAATTAAACTGTGTTGTAACTGTTACTCAGTGATGAGCCCTTCTGTTAAATCATAGAAATCTTCCTACCATATCAGGAGATGAAATATTAACCTAAACTAGATGAACTATTAACCTAAACTATAACTAAGAATACTTAGTAAACATTATCTATCTGTTTAGGAAGTTTCTAGCAAGATAAAACTCTATCCCTTTATTCTTTGTTATTTAGGGTGGTGGGTGGAAGGCATTCAACTGAGAAGAAACCTCCTAAAAATTAATGTTCTCTTCTCCATTTATTTAACATGTTTCTGTACTTGCATTTTAAATATTCTGCTTGCCACTTCAGAATGAATAACACATGATTATGCAATCATACAGTGCTGGTCTAATCCTAGTAAGGTGCATGTAAAGTTCATCACAATGTAAAGTGATCAGCTTTACATGGCTGATGTATTTACAGTCATGATTTACAAACATGACACTGACTCTTATCAATATCAATGATATGGAGGAAATCCAGGGCCTTGGATTCCACATTTTCCTCAATGTAAGTGTGTTTTATTTGTTTGTTTTTCTGTTTGTTTTTGGAGAGCCTCCAAATGTTTAGATAACATCCACTGAATAGACGTTAAATTTCAAATAAAGTAACTGTGACATTTCCAAACAGTTTTTGAGTATGTGACTATAAATACATGATAAACCCTAAAAATAATAGTTAATTCATTTAAAAAAACTAATGATAAACATATCTTTTTAATCAAATTCCATCCTAATTTTTTTTAAATATTTGCTATATTGAAATGATAGTATATCTAGAACATTTAATATATTTTTCTCTTTCATCGATATGCACATACCCTGGCTGAGTTGATTAGTTTCAAGCCTAAATAAACATAGCAACATTTTTCATACCTTGCAGCAGGGATCAACCAACTTTTTTTCTATAAAAGGCCAAATAGTAAGCATTTCATCTTTGTGAGACAGACAGCCTCTGTTGCAATTACTTAACTCTACAGTTGTAGTATGAATGGCAGCCACAGATAATATTTAAATGATGGACATGTTATATTAGATTGATGCAAAAGTAATTGCAGTTTTTGCCATTAATAGTAATGACAAAAACCACAATTATTTTGCACCAACCTAACAGTACAATAAATCTATCTTTACGAAATTTAAGCACCAGACTGGATTTGGTCCATAGGCTGACCCCTCCACTGGAGTTTCTATCTCTTACTGTTTTTGACCTTAAATCACCTCCCATAACTTTATCAATGTTATATGCATCTATATAACTTTTATCATCATATGGAATAGTTGTACATATTTGCATCCCTGATATCTTACTAGGCTTATATAAGTGTTTGTGGTCATCTGGCCTACTCTTCTCTTCCAGTTTTACAGATAACAATGTTGGGACTAATGGTATGTTTAAAAGAAGGGAAAAACTCTATCTCCCATAACCATTTTTCTTTCTCCTCAATTTTCACATAAAACAGTCTCTTGGAAGACCAAGGCCATTTATAAGGTAATGAAAATGATAAAGAAATAATACCGGGTAGTCACAAGAGAATGGAAAATTCCAGGCAACAGGTTCACATGACTAGCAAAAGGAAACTGTTGAAATAGCTGCAGAAGTTAAGGGCTGATAAAACCCTGAAAAATAGTGTGGGCCAAGCTGGCTAAGATGGACTCGACCCAACATGGGCTGGATTTGACATAGGTTTCACATGGGACCTCATTATACGCTCATTAACATACAAATCTCATACCCACCAGTGTCATGACAGTTCTGGGAACACCCATATTTTGCGGAAAAATGGGTGACACTACAGTTTCAAGAAATCTGTATCTTTTTCCAGGAATCTTCATAAATTTTCCACTTCTTGGATTAAAAAAAAAAACAAACATAAATGTAGCAGCTCCAAACCCCCTTTTGTGTGTCTGTCTCTTGAGTATTCCTGCACTCCCCTTTCTTGAGTGTCACTTTACAATAAATCTCCATACTTTTACTATTTTCTGACGCATCCTTGAATTTATTCTCATGACATGTCAAGAGCGGGACTCCTCCTGGAGTCCAGGTCCCACCAATGTCTAGGAACCTCCCCTTGGCCACTGGTATCAGAATGTTAGATGAGAGAAGACCTTAGTGGTCATTTAGTGTAAGTTTCTATTTTGCAGATGAAGATACTGGGATACAAAGATTAAGTGATTTCTCAAACCAATTCACATAGGCAAAGCAAAACAAAACTTTGGAGTTGAAGTTATGCCTTTAACTTTCTGGTATAATGTCCTACTCACAATTCTCAATAATATCTTAAACAAGAATATAGGATAAGGAAATAAAATAGGTGCAGCCTAACACCCTGGCTATTACCAACGTTCAAACAATGTTGTTTCATTCCTCTGCCACGTTCTGAAACGGACTCAGAATAAACTTGCATTTCCCACAACTTTGTCAAGTATTGACAAACGTTGACAACATATATAATGCCCATTATAGGGCAGTATATACTTATTAAAGTGTAAGGAGCATATTTTATTGTAATTTTAGCAAGGGAAGCTGCATAGTCATGTCTTGAAATAGTAAATCTGTAACAGGAAGCTTTGAGGAGGGGGGAACTAATTCATTTGTGTAAAGCTCCTCGTGATCTCTTCAGGGTTTATAACAACCCACCTCTGATCTGCATGTTAGAGAATTGCATAAGTTGTGAACAATAAGGACATATCTTTTAGAAAAAGGGAAAATCAGGCTAGTTTTGATTATAGTATGTGCATGTGTTTCTGTATGTGTGTGTGTGTTTTCCCCTGTGAGCATGTGGAGATGAGCAGAGTGTGTGGAATGTGATCTCCAGGAGGGTACCAGAAGCTGGATGTGAGGTTGCTAGGCAATTTTCCCTATTGTTTTAAACAAACTGCACAGGCCTGGCAGCAGCTGTCAGAGTTCCTGGCTCTTAAGAATAACAGAGCTGAAAAACACAAAGAACAAAGTCTTCCACAATAAATGGCAATAAATAACAGGAACTTTCTATGCCAGTAAATGCAGGCACTTGGATGTTAAAGCAATTAATAAGGTTAACAAACACAAGAGGCCATTTGAATTCTATTTGTTGTCAAATACTTCTTCCCCCTAGATACTTTAATTTAAATGGTAAGACAATCTGAAAAGAGAATGGTAGGCTGTGATTTTGATAAATTATTCCTTTAAAGTCACCGTTTTCTTGCTTGTTTATTCTGATTTTATCCATGGAGAATTTCAAATCAGTGACAACAGTATAAACCTTACTCTAAATAAGTTTTAAAGACTTTAAATACAAACAAATTCTATGACTTAAATAAAAAAAAAAAAACAGTTCAGTCAACTGTATCAGCACCACAAGACCCCCTCTACTTAACCCTTTATAGCTGTCAAAAAAATTGCACCAAATTTAGTACAAAAAATTCAACAAGTGGCTTTTATTTGCAATTTGAGAGTCGAGAAACACTCAATAAAATAGAATGAGTATTCTGATGAGCCAAGCAGAAGAGGTTGGCTTTATAGGCAGAAAAAAGGGCTGCAGAAAGCAGAAACAGAGAACACAAATCAGACTGGTCATTTCACAGTGAGACTGTTTTTGTAAAGGTGAATGCAGGGGGCACTTCTTTATCATGCCAGGAAAAACTGACCTGTTTGGAGATTTGGCAACTCTCCCTCTCTCTCTCCTGATTTCTTGGAAGTTCAGATAAACAACTTCATTTTGTCTTGGTGATGTGGAACTCCAAGATGAGTATCTCCATTTTGGTTTGGTCTGTTGGGCCTATTGCAGGAGTTCGGTCCAAACAAATGACCTTCCTATAAATGTTATGTAACATAGCCATAACCATTTTTTCACCCCTCTCCTCTTTTTCATGGAGATGGTTATACAAAGCTAGATGTGATGAGATTGAATAGAGCGACACGCACACATACACACAAGATCACGTATAACTGTTGAGATCTGAATAACCCCTACGGTTGTATCATTGGTTGTGATAGCGTGCTATAGTCATGTAAGAGATTGTCATCGGAAGAGGCTGTAGTGTGTCTCACGTTTCTGCCTATTGCTTTGCAGTCTTCTGTGAATCTAGAATTATTTCAAAATAAAAATTTTAAACAACCAAACACATCATTAATTTTTAATATTTTGGAATTAGAGCATTTTTTCCCTTTTAGAATGAATCGTAGTTTTACTGGTTTAGTTTTTACCTATATGTGAACAATTTTCTTTCCTTCGATTGATGTTTGCTTGATCATCCATTACAAAACAATTTGGAAGGGTAACTCAGACATCTCCTGGTAACCAATTTTATTGACATATTGCTGGGCTAAAAAGTTATTTGAATGAAGGTTCTTTTTAAAAATTTATATTTATGGAGTCTACACCACTGGGAAATTTAAAATTAAGAATTTTTATAAATAGAAACAATGAGAATGTTGTCTTTTCAAAACAAATTCTTTGAGACAGTGGTTTTCAAAGTGTGTGTAAATATATATGGGTTTTAGCCTTTTATTTTGAAATAAATACAGGTTAACCAGAAGTTGCAAAGGTAGTACATAGAGGGTGCATACACCACTCACTGAATCCCCCCAGTATTTATATCTTGTATAACTATAGTCAATATAAAAACCAGGAATTTACGTTGGTTCAATGTGTAAGTGTACAGTTAACCCTCAGTGACATGAGTTTCAACTGCAAGGGTCCACTTACATGTGGATTTTTTTCAACCAAAGGCTGATAGAAAGTACAGTATTCATGGGGTAAGAAATCCATGCATAGAGACAGCCGTATTTTCGCAGAGCTGCTTGTGGGACTTGAGTGTGCATGGATTTTAGTATGGGGGCAGCGCAGGCTGGAACTAACCTAATCCCCTGTGTATACCAAGGAACAACTGTAGTTCTATGCCACTTTAATACACAAAAAGTTCTTTTAAATCCTACCTGAATCAAGATTCTGAACTATTCCATCACCCCAAAGATCTGATGTGAATATTTTACCACTTCAAATGAAGTATAGAAACTTCAGCCGGGTGTGGTGGCTCACGCATATAATCCCAGCACTTTGGGAAGCTGACGGGGGTGGATCGTTTAGTCAGGAGTTCGAGACCAGCCTGGCAAACATGGTGAACCCCGTCTCTTCTGAAAATACAAAAATTAGCCTGGCATGGTGGTGAGTGCCTGAACTCCCAGCTACTCAGGAGGCCAAGGCAGGAGAATTGCTCGAACCCAGGAGGGAGGCAGAGGTTGCAGTGAGCCGAGATCACTCCACTGCACTCCAGTCTGGGTGACAAGAGCGAGACTCCGTCTCGAAAAAAAAAGAGAAAGAAAGAAAAAAGAAACTTCACTTCCTTTTAAATTCCTTAATCCTCCACTGTTTATAATTGTCTTAAACATTCCTTGGCATACATTGACCTCCACTTGATACAATGCTATACTTTTTGCTCTTTCAAAAATAGTTGGGAAAACTCAAGAAGACAAGGAGAATGTATTCACATTTGCTCTGCCCATCATTATTCTTCCTTAATGTTTTAAGGTGCTTTCTTTTATTTCCTTTCTGTCTAGAGAACTTTATTTTGCCATCCTTAGGTTTACTGGCAATAAACTCTTAGTTTTCCTTCAACTTAGACTGCCTCAATCTCCCTTTCATTCCTAAAGGGTATTTTTGTTGGATATAAAATTCAGAGTTGATAATTCTTTTCTTTCAGCACTTCAAAAACATTGTGTAACTTTTTTTCTGGCCTCCAGGTTTTCTGATAAAGAACACATTGTCATTTGAATTGTTTTGTTTTTTCCTTTTAGGTAAGGTATGTTTTTTCTTGCTGCTCAAGATTACTTCTTTCTCTTTACTTTTAAGAAGTTTTATCATGAAGTGTCTTGGCGTGACTGCCCTCTTACTTAGAATAACGTCTATATTTACTTTTGAAATGCTATCCATGAAATCCAAACATATAACAAGAAAAAGTCATTAAAACTTCTAAATTCAAAAAGCATGCTGTATGTTACAAAACTCTAATTTTATCCGTTTATTGTATTTCTTATATTTCTAACTTCACACAGATTTACACGTAGCTTTTTAGCCTTTCGTTCCAGTTGGTGGTTAGAAAGTTAAAATGAAAGATTAAATACTGAAGTATAACTTATTTGGTACGAACAAAACCATTCCATCATAGGTTTCCTTATATTTCTATTGAATGGGGATTTTCTTTTCTTCAAAGCAATCAGCCTGTCAGATCAGACCTATTTTTTTTTTGTATTTTTTTGTTGTTGTTGTTCTTAGTTTCTTCCCTCCACTACAGACGAGCAGATAATTCAACCTGAAATATAATATGTATAAGAAAGTGTGGAATTATTTTAAGCTTTCCCTACCCTGCCACCACCACTCTTAGAAATTAAATAGAACATGTAGAGTCCCGAAACAGAGTAGTTTGTTTTTGTTTTTGTTTTCTGCAATACAGAGATTTTTCAAGTAAATTATAAAAGGAAAACTTGATTTTTAAAGTCTCATTGAATGACTCATGCTTGAGTAGTTGAATGATAATTTGAAAAAGGCTCAATGCACTGCAGTATATTGCTTGGATAGAGAGTGAAAACTATATGAAGAAAAAAAAAAATATATATATATATATCCTTTCAGAAAAGTCTTACTATAAACTTAGATGATGTTCAAAACTGCTAGTCTTCGTTATAAAATGTATTTTTTTTGTTTTGTTTTTTTTGAGATGCAGTCTCGCTCTGTCGCCCAGGCTGGAGTGCAGTGGCGCGATCTCGGCTCGCTGCAAGCTCCGCCTGCCGGGTTCACGCCATTTTCCTGCCTCAGCCTTCGGAGTAGCTGGGACTACAGGCGCCCGCCATCACGCCTGGCTAATTTTTTGTATTTTTATTGGAGACGGAGTTTCACCGTGTTAGCCAGGATTGTCTCGATCTCCTGACCTCATGATCCGCCCGCCTCGACCTCCCAAAGTGCTGGGATTAAGGCAGAAAATGGCCAATCCACACTGAGTTAGTATGTAAGCAATATCATAATTGCAGCAGAATGATGAATAAATACTTCCATTGAGGATAAAGATGGAGCACCTTCTGAAGTTTGTCAATAAGAAAATTTCAATACAGATAAATGTAATTTCCAAATATGTTATTAGGATCTTACATAATGTTTGAGAATACCGCATGCTCTTCTATGAATAATAGAGTGTCTCTGATCCAGTTATCTGAATGTTAAGATAAAACTTTGAGGAGATTTCCAAAAATTTTATTATCTACGCAATTTAATTTTGGAGAAGCACTAGGTACTAGGTTTGAATAACTCATTTTTCCCCTTAAGATTTATAAGGTTTAAAATATTATTAGATTTTTTTCTCATGAATGAATTACAATTTTTTTTTATATTTTCCATTACATTTGACTCAAGGTGAGAAGAGACAGAAAAGCATAATGTGAGCTAAGTGCTAGGTGCCAGGCACCGTTTCAAATATGTTATGAGCAATGAATCATTTAATCTTCAAAATTGACTTGTGGGATATATTATCATACTCTTTTACAAGACGAGAAAATGGAGATACCAAGAAGTACTAATAGCTAATGAGCCAATTTTTAAACCCAGGTATCTGAATCCAGAGCCTGCACTTTTAGCTATAATACTGTGCAGAGAGAAATGAGTATAAATATTAGAACTATTAGAACAGGTAACTTTACTTACATTTACCATTTACCTCTTGTACAGTCTTGAGCAAATAACCACATAATGCCCTTATCGATGTGAATCAAAATGCCTAATTGAAAAGTTGTAAAGATTAAAGACATGTTAATCAAAACTTCTGGCACTACCTAAAGGTGAAGAATTAGTAACTCTTATTATGCTGTTACAGTGTTTTCTTTCTAAATATGCAACTTTGATTTTTGTTTGAGTCTTTTCCCTTCTTCTAAGTGTAATCAACACTTCTCTGAAATACTGGACTGATACATACTCTTTCTCCCCAAGAGATACTAATGCTTGCCACCCCGGCCCCACACATCTCTTCCTATCTCCATCTTCGTCTAGTTCTCCCCAGGAGCCTCATATTTGACATTTGCATGTCATACTTTGTCAACAGCCTTCCAATATAAGCCCTGTACTTTTGTCATCTTAAATGACTAAAACATGTTGAGCTCCTTCATCACTTTATAGTTCTGTTCCTGTTGTTTTCTCTGTCTGGAATGTGTCTCTCCTGTTTCCTCTCTACCTATTCAAATATTCAAAACTAAAGGTTTACTTGAAACCCTGTCTATTTAACAAAAACTTCCTGTCTATTCCCTTTGACAATATAACTCAGTATCCTTTTCTAAAGACCAACAGAAGGGCTCTTAAACCCCATTAGGCGGGACAATTGTGTTTCCTCTGAGTATCTGGTCTGCTTTTAAGTTATTTATACTGCCAATCATATAGGCACAGTTTTTGTGTCTATGTTTACCTTGTTATCAGAAACTCCAAGCGTGAATCTGTGGTCCATTTTAGCTGTTATGAAATACTTCCAGGCAGACTACTTACTACTCTAACTTGATACATGTTTCAATTAATTTTGCTGTCCCATATTTACCCTTTTTTATCAGATATCTTTTAATTTTTGCATATATTACAATTTAATGGTAAAATAAAATTTTATCTCACAGAAAAGTAATGGTGCAAAAGGAAATTCTTATAAATAATTGAAAAATAGAGGAAATAGTGTAAAAATGTTAAATTACTTGTAAATAAGCATCCAGAAATAACTACTTCAAATATTTGGATCTATTTCCATTACTTCCTAAAATGAGTTGTTTTTCTAATTATTTAAACAATATTTGAATGTGTTAAAATATAATTTTAAATTTGCTTTTGAAAATTAACATGATGATTTTTAGGTTATTAAATATTCTTTTAACATATAATATTTAGTGGTTTCATAATATTTCATATGAATAATCATTATTTAATTGAGGTATTCTTATATATTTGAGCATTTATGCTGTGTTTAATGGTTAACAGGTTACTACTGTGATGAACAGCAGTGTCAAGTATCTTAATTGCTAAATATTTAACTTCATATTATTAATGTAAATTAATGAAAGTAAAAGTCTCAGTTCATAAGTTACTCATATTTCTAAAGCGATTAATACTTGTTGCCAAATTTCTCTTCAATTTTCTTGTTCCCTGGACAATTGTAGGCATTGTAGTTCTTTTTATATTTATATTGTATGCGTTTCTATAAATATCTTCAACATCTTTGGAAAAAGATGTAGGGGTGGGTTGCCCTTCCACACCTGTGGGTGTTTCTCGTAAGGTGGGACGAGAGATTTGGAAAAGAAAAAGACACAGAGACAAAGTATAGAGAAAGAAATAAGGGGACCCGGGGAACCAGCGTTCAGCATATGGAGGATCCCGCCAGCCTCTGAGTTCCCTTAGTATTTATTGATCATTTGTGGGTGTTTCTCGAAGAGGGGGATGTGTCAGGGTCACAAGACAATTGTGGGGAGAGGGTCAGCAGACAAACACGTGAACAAAGGTCTTTGCATCATAGACAATGTAAAGGATTAAGTGCTGTGCTTTTAGATATGCATACACATAAACATCTCAATGCTTTACAAAGCAGTATTGCTGCCCGCAGGTCCCACCTCCAGCCCTAAGGCAGTTTTTCCCTATCTCAGTAGATGGAGCATACAATCGGGTTTTATACCGAGACATTCCATTGCCCAGGGACAGGCAGGAGACAGATGCCTTCCTCTTGTCTCAACTGCAAGAGGCATTCCTTCCTCTTTTACTAATCCTCCTCAGCACAGACCCTTTACGGGTGTCGGGCTGGGGGACGGTCAGGTCTTTCCCTTCCCACGAGGCCATATTTCAGACTATCACATGGGGAGAAACCTTGGACAATACCTGGCTTTCCTAGGCAGAGGTCCCTGCGGCCTTCCGCAGTTTTTGTGTCCCTGGGTACTTGAGATTAGGGAGTGGTGATGACTCTTAAGGAGCATGCTGCCTTCAAGCATCTGTTTAACAAAGCACATCTTGCACCGCCCTTAATCCATTCAACTCTGAGTTGACACAGCACATGTTTCAGAGAGCACGGGGTTGGGGGTAAGGTCACAGAATCTCAAGGCAGAATTTTTCTTAGTACATAACAAAATGGAGTCTCCTATGTCTACTTCTTTCTACACAGACACAGTAACAATCTGATCTCTCTTGCTTTTCCCCACAAAAAGATACGTAAATATCTGAATGAATATATAAATGAATGGATGGATTTCTTGCTCAAATTTATTTCTCTTCTAAAATTATATATAATTGATATATCTATTATATTATTCCACAGCTTTGTCTATTCTGTGTGTTTTTTCTTAAATCTTGCTTTAGTATTATGTTTGTCTCCTGAAATAGGTTGAAAACTGCCTTTAAGAAGGTACTATATGTGTTATGTCTTCTAAGTGTCTATTTTTTCATCATACCTTTGGAAATATGATTAGAAGTCAAAGTGTACTTGGTTGACAATTAGGCTTCACAATACACACACGAAAATGGAAATTTTTATTAAGAAGTAGTATAAAGTTTGTTGTGAGAATACAAATAGCCACAAACTCTCTTGTCCTGTCATCAACACTAACATCATGGCAGCTAAAAATAATCTTTCCCCACTCTTAAGCAAGAATGTTAGACAGTGACAGCATCATATTAAATTATTTCCTAAATTCTGTTGATAATGTCTCATGTGTCACACTTCGGGACAGTGAATATTTAGAGTTTCTAAAAACATGACAATGAGCGAAGAGTCAAATGGCAAGACTGCTTTGAGAAGAATGAACCTGAAACTGGGTCATACCAAACCAACAGTATTGATAGAATTACTTTGGGGTGAAGTGAACAGACTCAGTCAAAATGATCACACTGGGTGCCCAGATTATGATCTCTGAATATTTCTTTCACACTCAAAGTAACCAGGACTCTTTGGAGAAACAGCTTTCAGGTTAGAGGCAGAAAGCATATAAAATGGACTTGACCGAGCTCTATAAATCAGAAAATAAAGAAGCTTTCAAAGGTACTGGGGTGTTGTTTAAAGTACACAGGAGCCAATGGAAAAGGATCACAATGGCCAAAGAATGAAGATATTTGCTGCACTGACATAAAAACTATGAAGGTTGGGGACACATCAAAATAGAGTTAGAACACAACTTCCTCTAGTTTCCTAAATATGTTACCACTTGTCCATCTATTTTCTGGTTTCTAAAAATAACTTCTCTGACTTCATTGTCTCAGCTATTCTATCTGCCCTTAATGTTTTATGCATATTTTGTGCATGCTCACTCTCATTTAGAGGGGCTGCAAAATCAGTGGAGAGAAACACATTGTCAGTCTCCCATATTTAACCACACAAAGTCTGGGTCTCAGATTTACTCTTCACATATTATTAAGAAAATACACACACACAATCTATTCTGCCAGACAGAAATAACGTTGAAAATAGATTTGGCTTTCTTTGAATAAAGACAGAACTTTCTGTGTTTTTTTTTTTCCAGCTTCATTTTTCTCATGCTTAGTCTTGTTTATTTGAATAGAAAGAATAGAGAGAATTTGGCTTAATATCCAGAAATAGTGTTCTGGGTGATTTATGTCTGTATGGAGAGTTGTGTCATTTTCAGTTTTTCTTCTTTTTCACAGTGGAGGTTGAGCACTGACTTCAGTTAGAATTTCCTACGTGCAATAGTGCATGGATAAAATCAGACCATACATCCAATCTGTTCCTCAAAACACCTTAGTCATATATTGTTTGAGGCCATATTGTGATTTGATTAGAAGATATTCACCATGTGAGAAAAAACAAAAAAACAAAGAGAAAGGTATAGTAGTGTAGAAGGAAGACAGTGGAGAACAGGTAAGATATTACTAAGTGTAGGTTCAAATACTGGCTCTTTTCTAACTGCAATTCTAACTGCAACTCTTTTCTAACTGCAATGCTTCAATAGAAGCATTTAACTACCACTTTGTCTTGCTCTCTGTGAAATTACGTAATTGGTAGAGGTAATGTAAATAACCTTCTGTCCCTAAATTTCCTGTGATTATTTTTTATTGCTGAAACAAACTATTCTATATACTGATTTTATGTCAAAATATTTTACAACCTTGGAATGAGAAGATGTTATTTAAGAAAGGAAAAGGCATAAAGCATTTGCAAGTTTTCGTATGGGTTTCAATCTCAAAGTTGTATTCCAAATGTCAAGTTTAATGGTACCAATGTTGAGTATTACTATTGAAAATGAAATTCTATTTATTTTAAAATTTATTTCATGATACCAAATATTCTTTTGATACCTGGTATATAATAATCTAGTACTTATATTAATCACCTAAATCTGCAAGTATTTCTTAAACTTTATTGTGCCTAACTTCCACCTGTGAATTAGTTAGAAATACAAGTGCCTAGACTCTTCTCAGAGATTATGATTTAGTAGACAGGGGTAGGACCAAGTTATCTACACTTTTATTGAATAATTGGCCAATTCTGATGTAGTCTCCACATGTCATCCTTTGAAAATTATGGCTAAATATCCTATTTGTAATTTCTTTTCACAATAACATTATTGGATAACTAACAATATTATCATACATATGCATATAGAAGGAGAATACAATTCTTCGCACAATCTAAGGGAAAACCTTCAACTTGCATTTGATAATAGGAGATAAGTGTTAAACTGCATATCAAACTTTATATTTTTTGGCACATATTACAGTGATGCAAGGAGAAAATACAGGTTATACAGATTATGTATATGTAAATATACATATAAATATGTATGTTTATAATGACCTAGTCAAGCTCATCAGCTGTCATCAACTTGGGGAAAAGGAATCTCCAGTACACATAGCTCCCTCTAGATCCCCCATCATCTCTACATTAGAGTAGCTGTAGTGAATTCTTATAATCCCATGTTGCCTAAGCCTTTATTTTAAATTTAAATTGGACTTTCTCATACCAGAAACAGGAATTACCCTTGATATAGTCTACAACTCTCTAACTCCTCCCAGTTCTTCAGTGTGATGGATCCAGATATCTGCCTTTCACAACTGCTTTTTGATGACCACCTTCCTATAGGACAGCTAGAAACAGCCTATGTGACTCACTCCTCAGACCCTTGTACCCCACATGGACTGCGTAGATATGGCATAGTGACCTCCTGTCAGTCACAGTGTGATCTTCTGGAACTTGTACCTGCTTGCTTTAAACTCACTGTTTAGAGCTCTCTTCGGGAAACCTGCTTGGGTAATGCTTTGGAACCCAATGAAAGCTTTGACTCTTTGGTCTCTTGCTCTCTCTCTTCTTTTCTTGCTTCCCACCAGCTGGTTGAGCATGCGTGTCCCAGATAACTCTTCCTTTCCCACGGGCCCTGTGAGGCATGATGCCCTCTCCTCTCTGGGATCTAAAGGAATAAAGATTGCTTATGTTATTTCATGCCATTCATTTATATTTTGTTCTGCTGCCTCTTCTATGTGTCACCTGATCAACACACATGAACCTAGAGAGGCCAGGGCACTCCTAGAGAGTGGGTATCTTGGATTATGGCCACTATCAAGAGAAAGACCTCAAGACCAATTGGAGGAAAATATAACACCAGCACAAGCTGTTTCTTGGAAGTAAAACATTAGGCTGTTGGATTCTGCTGTTAGAGATCACTGTTGCTAATGTGTGGTCATATTTTTCCTGCCTTGTCTGGGCCCAGTGGGATTTGGCCTCACCTTGGAGTGACCTCACTATTGCTGAGCCTGAAGGCTGTGCAGTTCCTTACCTACTCAAGAGAGCCAAATATGAAGTAAAGTTGCCTCTCAAGTTATGTAATGTACTATATCCCTCCAGATCAGAATATATTTTATTAAATATTCTGTAATTATGATTCTGGGTCAATATGAAATATATGTAAAACCCATATGTCCCTTAAGTTTTATATTTGTTAAATAATGAGGTTAACAGATAATTTTCAGTAGGAGTAAAGAAACTTGCTTCTAAGTTATACATCATATTCTGTATGAATATGTTACATACCTGAGTATGATATCAGAATACATCATATTCTGACAACATAATGATAAATATTAATTTTAATTATCACAGATAACTTCTGTTACTTAGCTCTATTTTTGAAATATAGAATCAATACATCTGGTTGGAAGTTCTACTAATTACTAAGTTTGGTTGATAGTTTCTAAATTTTTAAAAGAAATGTTAGTTAGAAATAGTTTAGCTAAAATTGCTATATCTATAGTATACTGCGTAGCATTATGGTACACTGATAAGGTATTCTGAAGGAAAAGTTAATATCTCATTTAGAGAGGATATCTTTCACCTCTTGCTTCAGAAAAGTAAAAAAGACCAGATTTTCTTTTTACTTTCTTCTTGAGTTAAAAAGTGTCAGTTAAACCATAAAACAATATTTTAATTTTAAAAAACACCATCATGATTACTCCTTTAAATTTTATCTCATATGTATATGTGTGTTTTAAGTCATGACCAATATCTCACAGAAGGAAGCCCAATTAACTCAATTAAATGGAGTTTGTTTTATAAATACTTTTTATGCAGTATTATCATCCTGCTATATTTTAAATTCTGTGTTCTCTGAGGCACTAATAGGCTTCATATGAAGACTATTGATCTAATTGTTCAAAAATTGTATTTCCTTCAATTAATTTCTTATCCAAAGACTATAGAGCAGAGAACCAGAAACACCAAAGCCTCTGGGATAGAAGATCAGTACACTAATAGCGAATTATCTGGAAAAGAAATCAATTTAAAAAATCCCATTTGCAAAAGCTATGTAAAAATTAAATACTTAAAAATAAATTTAACCAAGGAGGTGAAAGATATTTACACTGAAAACTATAAGACACTGATTAAAGAAACTGAAGAATTTCTTGATAGATTGGAAGGATTCATATTGTTGAAGTATCCATATCATCCAAAACAATGTACAAATTCAATGTAATTCCCATCAAAATACCAATGACGTTCTTCACAGAAGTAGAAAAAAACATCCTAAAATGTGTATGGAATCACAAAAGACCTCGACTAGCCAAATGGCCATTACTTTTAATGGCAAAACAACAAGAACCAAAAAGTGACCAAAGTAAAAGAAGAAATAAGAAAATGTCAACCGCTGTTGGAAGTTCTGGTGTGCTTCTTTCAACAAGATACTGACGCAGATTCCCATTCAAAACAGAGAAGGATGATATGAACAACAAGCTAAACAGATGGTTTAGCATACACAGATGACATGATTCTTAGTAATGGTGGAATACACATTCTTCTAAGTGCATTTCCAACATTTACTCAAGTTGACCATTTGCAGAGTTATGGAACAAGTAAAATGAATCCAGAGTTGAATCATATAGAATATGTTCAGTGCC
The DNA here is from genome assembly GCF_000001405.40 of Homo sapiens. NCBI lineage: Eukaryota > Metazoa > Chordata > Mammalia > Primates > Hominidae > Homo > Homo sapiens. Next base: position 156,310,915 of record NC_000004.12, read on the forward strand.
CTCAGTGGAATTAAGCTCCCCTTCCCCCACCTAGACTTCATTTCACACTTACTCCAGTGCATGATGCTCCAGAAATGCCAACCGGTTTTTTTTTTTTTTTTAACCTCTGTTGAACAATTCTGTTCTAGATTCAGGGATTATCTCCTTGTTTTGTAGGTTTCTGATCAAGTGGCACTTTATGAAAGAGGGCCTCCCTGAACATATTATCTTAATTTATAACTCTTTCCCTTACTCTCTTCAATATCACCCATTTTAGTTATACAGTACTTTTTTTTTAAACTATCTGTTGTTGTTTTATTTATTTACTTGTTTATTTTCTAGGAAATAATTGGCATGACTGCCAGGCTTGTCTCACTTGTTTACTGTCTAGTGCCTTAGCACGTAGGAGTTCAACAAGCAGCATTTGAATGAACAAACCAGTGGTTGCTGCTGATCCACTGTTCATTGTTAGATCCCACAGCTACTCCCAGGATAAGTATTTCAACCCCATACTTTCGTGATGATAAAAATACATTTGTGTGCATGGCCATTTCTTATTATTAGAACATTGAAACTATAGGTTATTGAAATTATGATCTGTATGATGCCCTTAATTCTCTACTTCATTTTGCTAATGCAATCACAGGTTTATTGTTCAGGGTACAGGACACATTTCTGAACCTCAAATTTCTTAGTCTGCACATTTCACATATTTTCCCTGATGCTGCCAACTATGAGCAAGCATGATTCTTTTCTACACATTTTAGTGAATTTCTCTTATTTTTATTTTTCTAAGATTTCTATTTCACATAAAAGCCAATTTATTTGTGAAATACACATTTCTCATTTTTAGAATGAAATGATTATTCTAGAAATTATCAGATTTCTATGTCGTTTTTAGATTGACGTAGAATCTAATGCTTGTAATATTTAAGCCAGTCTCTTTGCTTTGTAGGTTTTATAGTTTTATTTGTGAATCACCTTAATATTCTAGTATGTTTTGAAAAAGACTTTAATAAAATTCAGTGTCTAATTTTTTTTTCGGGGGGTGGTGGTAGAAATCAATAGAGGGGGTTTTGTTTGTGCTTGGGGAGTGTTAGGGAAATAAATACTTTACCTGGACATTTGGGTAGCTACGGCAAAGCAATGGAAGAAAAACAGAGTTTGGTTAAGATTCAGAAGAAAAACACTGGAGTGTATATATTGCCATCCTTCCCATAGGGTCCAAGGACTAGGTAGATTTTGTCACACTGGAGATGAGCTATTTCATCTTTTCTTGTACTCTAAATTTAATTGTTTTTATTTCAATATAATTAGAAAATCAGCTAAAATAGAAACTGATCAAGTTTATGCAGACAATCCAGACTATTTTAAAAGTATTTTCTCGCAAACTGAAGAAGAACCTCAGGTTTGTTATTTCTTTAGTAGCATTCAAGTACATTCTTGTTATGTCTGACAGGAGTTTCCTGGGCTCAGTGTTTTTTGAGGCTTCTGTGGTCTCATAATTGCATGTTGCTGTAATTCATAAGCAGCAGCGCTATTGACAGGAAAGGAGTAACACAGAGTTTTGGAGCACTAACATGTTTAGATATTCACTTGTGTGAACTCATTTTGTTGCCAAGTGTTGTTTTTAGTGCTTACCATCATTGTCATAATTACTTTGCACCAAATTTATGTCCTCTAAAACTTTGTTTTAATTGGATTTGGCTGAGTCATACTTTCATTTTATGGGTGTGGGTATTGAATCTCAGTGAGCAGCTTATCCAAAGTCATATAAAATGTTTGTGACATAGTCGTATGCAGTACTGTTAAACTTATATTTCTGAATAACCCATACATGTGATATGCACTTTCCTACCTATCAGTCTATAGCAAATGCTTCCAAACATGGTCTTCTGTTTTTGTTAGAACTGGGTTCTTATGTTAGCTCAGGAATTTAATAGCTACAGGAATTTTTGCAATCGTTTTAAACTTTCCAAGCCTTGGGTACTCATTTGTAAAATGCAGTACCTAACTAACAAGGTTGTATAAACATGTGAGTTTATATACCTAATGGGCACAGTTTATTTGCAATTATTACTTCTGTTTGAAATAAATTCATTTATATTTTACAACAATTCCTAATTTTTACCATGCATTGTTTGGGAACATTTTATAGATCCAGGATTAGACCAATTAATAAGCAACTTGCACTAAAATAAATGTCTCCAGAAATAAAGGCATATATAATTAGTCCTGTATCTTATCGAGGCACAATCTATTCCTCGTTATTTTTTAAATGAAATGATCCCCAAAAGCCAGTGAACAAAGGTGGCACTTCATAATTATTCTATTAAATAAGGCATTGAAGTATAATTAATGATTAATACAAACTGAGTAAGAGGAAAAATAAAGGCATATAATGTGGAGTGAAATTTGAACTAGATTTTTTAGAGCAATGCAGCGTTATGGGTAATACATTGGGTTAAGGGTATTTTTATTTCTTTTTCAAATTATAAATGTATTAACATCAATAAGTGTTTTAAATTAGAAATCATTATTTCTGCCAATCCTACATTTGCTACTAGACTCAACTTAGGATAATTTATAAAGCCTGATTTTTTTTCTATGTTAACACTACATCATAATAAAGCATTTGCATATTTATGGTTAACTAATTAAGAGTGAAAATTTGACCAAAAAAAAGTTAAAATTGAGTAATTACTGAATAGGGAATTACACAGAGACTTTCTAGCTTTCCTAGTTTTAGATCATTAGCCAAACTCTGAAGAGTATGCTATTGCTACAGTGTTTGAAAAAACAGTCTAGGATGCCAAGATCAACTGCCAAAAAAGGAAAGCAAATAATAATACCAAACGTCAAAAGCTACTTTTCACAGTTCTACTCCAAAACGGAGGATTATAAAAACATTATTTTTTATAGTCATAACAAAAAAACAAAGTGTTGTGTCAAGGTGAGAATAATTCTAAGTCTTTAAAAATTTCAGCACAAATGAGACCCTTGAATAAAATAGTGAAAGAAAATGGTAACATGTTTGAGGTGCCAGGATGGGAAGGATAACTGCTGATGAAAATCCCACATTTGAGTCATAATTCAACAAACACATTTATTATACTAGCTTTAAGGTGTTATTCTTGTGTGGTGTGGCTTTTAGATAGTATAACATTTAGCTTAGTCTGTCCTAAGTACATATCTCTGAGTTTGGAATATGAATAGAAGAATTGTTTTCAATAATCACTAACTTCCATTTTCTACTCAGAGTGGTGTAGCGAAAAGGTGTGGGTCTTAGTAATAGTTTCAAATATTTTTTTTTTAGCTTTTAAAACTGAAATAATTTACCCATTTTGAGAAACAGCCTTCTTTAAAAATCTATAATTTAAAATTAAAAATACTAGCCCTGATATTGTGTATGTTATGCGAATCAGGTTAGAAATACAGTATAAGTACCTTTTCACAGCTGATTTTTATAAGATGCAAAAGGCATTGCTTTTACTAATATTATACTACCATTTTGAGTAGAATTTGACCCTAGAAATAGGGTCCATATGTTGTGAATAGTTTGACCCCTGTTATTTTTCCAAGCAGCCTAACACATCTACTAATAGACTAATTAATATACTAGACCAGTGAAGGAATACTATCAGAAGGCCACAGTTTTCCAGAAGAAAAGCAGATTAAAGTGTTAGCCAGGTAACATTTTGGATTGTGAAGAGATTACTTATGAACTATCAAATCTCAATAAGGACTATGGAACAACCTGGTAATTTCATGGCAGGAAGCTTTGCTTAGAATTTTAGTTTTAGTTTTAAGTAGCAGTCTATCCATGTACTTTTCTTTAATACAACTTGAAGCTAATTAAGGACAATTTATTCAAATGAAGTATTTAAATATTCCTAACCATGGAAACTGGGTGTGTCTTTTCTTAACACAATCCTAATTCATATTTTGTTAACTGACATACATTAGCTTTGTGCATTTTCACCAATGTCTATGATGTTTCAAACTAAATTATAACTTATGTTATAAATATGAATAGTATTTGTTTGCTTATTAGTTTTACCAAAGACAAGTTAATAGGTATTTTTGAAGTTACTGGCAAGTAAATCATTTCTAATTCAGTAGTTTAATCTTGGTGAGTTAAGACTTATTACTATTATAGATCTATTATTTAATCTTTATATGATACATTTTTGAGTTCCAATTAAATGACAGGCCTTTGTGCTAGGTGTGAGGAATATGTAGACAAAGAAGATCTGCTCTGTGTCTCAAGGAGCTTGATCTCCTTGTAAAAGAGAAGGAAACCAGCATTGTGTCTTACGTTACATGTACAATGCATTCTGCTAAAAGAACTCAAAGAAGAAACCATTACCTCTGACTTAGAAGGCCAAGAAGACTTTTGAGAAGTAACTTCCGTGCTGTCATAGGATAGAAAGCATTTAGCCAGGAAGAACTATAAGACATGTTAACATAGTTGTAAGAAAACCATTTTGGTAAGTTTCTAATATAGCAATTTTTATGTACTCTGAAATTCAGATTCTAAATTTTTACCATTTTTTATCACCAAGAAATTTACAAAAGACAAATGCTTATCCCAATTCTGAGCCACACTTTACACTTTAACTTTACTCCATCTGTGACACCAAAGTCTAGGGTAGGAGAAATGGAAGAAGACTTGTACCAAGTTGGAGTGGAGAGTCAGAGGGAGGCTTAGGAATGGGCTGAGGGGAAAGTTGCATGTTAACACTATCTTACAAACTGCAGAAAACCCAGGGCCACATATTTACCACACTTACTCATTTCAGAAAGGGCCATCAGTCTCTCTAAGTAAAGTTTACACTCATTTTTGTAAGTTCAGGTATATCTTGAACTGATTCTCAAATTACCTGTTACTTTCTTTAAACAATGACCATAACTATTTACTTCCAATTAATGATTAGAGTTCACTATATAATACATCTCTTTGAATTTTCGTATGTTTTTCTAGAAGATATTACCTCAATTGTTGAAGGGCTCCTGCACCAGATAATCATATTAAGTAGGGGTATTTTTAGCATTGGATATCTGGCAGGTATTGATGATTTTAATATATGGAATGAAATTTTAAGATTATGGAGAACTATCACCAAGAATAGTTCTAAAAAATGCGAGTAAAGTAGATAAACTTTTTTTTTTTGGAAACTTCATACATTCTCTTCTTGTCTGTTTTATATTTCTTTTTAACACTTGGACAAAAGTGTTCCTAGACTTTCTCCTGACAGTACAAGTTCTACAATGGAGCAAGTTCTTCTGCTCTAAGCATGTTTTCTCTTCCCAATTACTTCTAGGCAATCCCTGCTAAAGATTTTATTCTACTCATCACATCCATCTGTGTACAGGTAGTAATTTAGTCCTACTTTATAATTTAGTCCTAGTTTATCTATAAGCTCTTGTCACTATTATAATATCTTCAAAAAGTATTGCATGCAAAACATAGTAATGCACTAGTATCGGATCCCAAGGGTGCTTCACAATGCACTAATTAATTTAGGGAGAAAGAAAGAGAATCATGATTCCTGTGGTTCAATATGTTTGCAGATTTGCTAAATAAAGTTAAACAATTATCTCCACAATAATATTTATAGCCTTAAAAACAAATACATGGATTGGATAGCCCCAAGACGGCTATACGATACAATGAAATTTCCAAAACATCTAAACAGTTTTAAGTGAGGAAATCATCTGATGTAGTGAGATAAGGAGTTCTAATTGCATGTTTTTGCAGTAAAAATACTTGGAACTAGATATATGTCTTATGCATTTTTAAAAACATTTTATCACATTCCTGGTTGCAAGATTGGGGTTCCATAGCATACTTCAAGATTCTAGCAAGTAAAAAAAAAGGAAATTAATGGCAGAGAAATTGTAATACTTTTGACAAACTCCTTATAGTATTTTTTAAAGAAATATATACATTTTAGGACTAGAGATGTCCCTATATGAAGCCAATTTTATTCTAGCTTGCATTATTTGAATATTACAGGTAAAGAATATTGGGGGGAAACACGACCAATATTTCAATGTAGGTTTTTTCTATTTTCCGTAAGTGTCAGTTGGCTGAGAAATAAAGAGAGACAGTACAAAGAGAGGAATTTTACAGCTGGGCTGCTCGGGGTGAAATCACATATCGGTAGGACCGTGATGCCCACCTGAGCCTCAAACCTCAAACCAGCAGGTTTTTATTAAGGGTTTCAAAAGGGGAGGGGGTGTAAGAACAGAGAGTAGGTACAAAGATCACATGTTTCAAAGGGCAAAAGCAGAACTACAGATAAGGGTCTATGTTTAGCAGTGCACGTATTGTCTTGATAAACATCTTAAACAACAGAAAACAGGGTTCGAGAGCAGAGAACCCAGTCTGACCACAAATTTACCAGGGTGGAGTTTTCCCCACCCTAGTAAGCCTGAGGGTACTGCAGGAGACCAGGGCGTATCTCAGTCCTTATCTCAACTGCACAAGACAGACATTCCCAGAGCGGCCGTTTATAGACCTGCCCCCAGGAATGCATTCCTTCCCCAGGGTATTAATATTAATATTCCTTGCTAGGAAAAGAATTGAGTGATATCTTCCCTACTTGCATGTCTGTTTATAGGCTCTCTGCAAGAAGATAAATATGGCTCTTTTTGCCCAACCCCACAGGTAGTCATACCTTATGGCTGTCTTCCCTTGTTCCCTAAAAATCGCTGTTATTCTGTTGTTTTTCAAGGTGCACTGATTTCCTATTGTTCAAACAAAACACACATGTTTTACGATCAATTTGTACAGTTAACACAGTTATCACAGTGGTCCTGAGGTGACGTACATCCTCAGTTTACAAAGATAACAGGATTAAGAGATAAGTAAAGACAGGCATAAGAAATTATAAAAGTATTATTTGGGAACTGATAAATGTCCATGAAATCTTCTCAATTTATGTTCCTCTGCTGCGGCTCCAGCTGGTGCCTCCATTTGGGGTCCCTAACTTCCCGCAACAATAGAAAGATTACATTGTATAATCTGTATTGTATGAAGTTCAATAAATAGAAAAACAGGCAAAAGCAAAGCCTTAAAAGGGATGGTATTAAATAGTTGGAAAACAGGGAGCAAATAAATTTCTTCTCCTGATAGTTTGACTTATAGTGTAATTCAAAGCAAAAGTCACATGGGGGCAAATAGCCAATGGAGGCCTGTTGCTGGGAATAAAGTGACCATGGCATGTAACTTTTAATGCATCTCAAGATGCCATATGGGTGGGTAAGGAAGGCACTGGAACCAGAATCAGAATGCCATCATGCCCAGAAGAGTTATTTAAATACAGTTGACATCCATAGTAAGAAATAAAATAAGATTTTTATTCACTTTATGATCTTTTGATAAATGTTGAATATTTCATTAAAACTTAACATGCAGTTTGGGAAATAATAATAGGTAGTTAGTAAATGAGAATTTCTTTCCCCTTCTGTGCTCTTGCAAAGTTAGTTTTTAAATTAATATCCTATGAATTTTTGATTCCTGGTCATTCCTGTGACCCATGATTTTATAATATTAAATCATCAACCATAACTTTAAAAAAACAGAAAAGAGAATTACACATCCAAATTCTTCTTATGAAGTTTCAAAATCTAAACCTTATTCAGTGCACTAAGGATTTTTCTATTACTGATTTTAATGATTAGCCACAGGATGTAGAAGATGCAAGATGCAATGTAGTGGAAGGTCTTTCCACAAAACACTTCCTAGGAGATTTGAATGGCATGAAACTAGATTTAAGGTGCTGCCTTGTTCCCTGAGATAAAATTCAGCATTGCCATTTCCTGGTCTTTGGCCAACAGTGGCAGAGTTAGGTGATAGAAACCATATATTGGGTGGGGGAATAGGAAAGGAGAGGAGGCTTGTATGCTATCTTTCATTTGGAGCTTTGAGAGGAGGAGTGCTCCATGACCACGTGGAGTGATGCTATTAGATAGAAACAGTGACATTGTGTGAGTGGGAAAAGAACAAGCCTGGATTAATGCTCCCCATTCCCATTTACTGTTCATGGTATGTGGGAAATTCAGTCATTTCTGGAGCTCCAGTGATGAACACAGAAGTGCTGAGAGAGCTGGTGACTAGAATGAGCCTGAGGTCTGGAGGAAAGAGATGCAGAGTGTGGGGAGGCTGTGACTTGTGGCCATTGCCAGAACCATAGGTATTTGTATAGATGTAATGCATGCCCAAAGGCCATGAGGAGTTAGGTACAAGGCCAACTAAGACGTGCAGGATAGTATTCAGATAAGCAAGTATCTTTTTCTTAATAATGGCATGTATGTTTTCATCTATGCCCAGATACTGCAGAGGGGAACAAAAGAAAAAGGAAGGGTATGAAAACCTGAAATTGACTGGGATTTGAATCTGCCCTCTACTAAGTAGAAATGCCATCAAATAAGTCATGGACAATTGAGTTCCATAATAGGAAATTAAAGAGAGATCTGTTTCTATTCATTGGAATCACAAAAATAATTATAAAAAACATTTATGCCAATTAGACATTGTTTCTAATCATTTTTAAATGTATGAACTCATTTAATTCTTTTTGAGATAGATACAATGTTTTCACCAATTTAAAAATGTTGCAGACTTTGGCCAAGTATAGTGGCTCATGCCTGTAATCCCAACACTTTGGGAGGCCGAGGAGGGTGGATTGCTTGAAGCCAAGAGTTCAATACCAGCCTGTGCAACATAGCAAAATGCAATCTCTTAAAAAATAAATACATAGACAAAATGTTGCAAATTTAGGGAGCATACATTTAACTGCCATGTATACTGCACTTTACAATGACAATATTTCCCATTGAATTATTTATATTTTTACACATTTTTTCCTCTTCCTATTTTCCATTTCCACTCTTCATAACATGTATACCATGTTGAGAAGGGGTAGTAATATAAAATAACTATAAAAAATATAAATTAGTGGCCGGGTGCAGTGGCTCACACCTGTAATCCCAGCACTTTGGGAGGCCGAGGTGGGTGGATCACAAGGTCAGGAGTTCAAGACCAGCCTGGCCAATATGGTGAAACCCTCTCTCTACTAAGAATACAAAAATTAGCTGGCCATGGTGGTGCTTGCCTATAATCCCAACTACTTGGGAGACTGAGGCAGGAGAATCTCCTGAGCCGGGACCCAGAAGGCGGAGGTTGCAGTGAGCTGAGATCACGCCACCGCACTCCAGCCTGGGCTATAGAGCCAGACTCGGTCTCAAAAAAAAAAAGTAAAAATAAAAATAAAAATAAAAATTGTTATATTTCTTGCTTGTTTCCTTTTTAAGTAGGCCATGTGGAACCTTTCGCCTTTTGTGCTCCTTCCCTTGACAATTTGCTTCCTCATACACCATAACTTTCCTTGCTTGTTGCTTTGTGTTATCAGGCAATTTGAGTTAATAAAAGGTTTCTAATCTCTATGTTTCATGTCCAAATAGTTCATTTGTGCCAATAGACTTTCACAGGATACTCAGAAGAATTAATTTTCAGTGTTTTGGATAGTGAATAGAAGTGGGATAAATGATTCATGAACTCAAGAACCAGAGTAACAGAGCATCTAAAAATGAAATGGATTAACTAAAGGACATATGCTAAACCATATACTGTATATGCCATATACTGACCATGTTAAATAAATTCATTTTCTCTATAGATTAGAATTCAAAGCAAGTATGAAAGTAACTTACCCAAATTATAATATATAGGAATTATAGCACAGTAGGGGAATAGACCTTGAAGTTTGACAGATCTAGATTTAAGTCCCCATTCTACTAGCTCACTAGCTGTATAACTTGAGACAAATTCCTTGACTTCTGAAGCCACAGTTTTCTCATTGTTAGAATGAGGGTTGTAATGTCTATATGCCATAGTGTTTAGGAAGAAGTTTAGGTCAATTATGAAAGTAAATTACTTAGCCCAGTGCAAAAAAGAAAAAACAAACCCCAGAATACTCTATCATCATCATCATCATTACCTAATCATGCTGTTCTTTTACATTAAAAAAAATTATTGAGTGCTCAATTTGAGCTAATCATTGTGTTAGGCAGTTGTAACACATTAATGAGCAAAACAGATAAATGACCCTGCTTTTGTGCTGTTTACATTTTATCAGGATATAGACAGATATCACTCAATAAATTGAATATGTAAGTAAATTTATGGAATTTTTATAAGGCATTACATATCTTGCAAACCAGCAAAAAATTGTGCAAGGTAAACTAAATTTTGACTATTGATTTAAGGGAACTGGGATAAAGTGATTGTCATCACTGAAAGGGTAATATTTAAGCAAATGTTTGAAGGATATGAGAGAGTTATCTAAGCAAAGTAATACGTGAAGTATGAGGAATTATAGTACAAGGAAACCAGTGTGGCTGGAATGAAATGAGTGGGAGAGAGGTCAGGAAACTGATAGTTGAGAAAGTTCTTGTTGGTGCCTGTAGGCTACTGTAAGTGCTTTGGTTTTACTGTGGTGAGATGAGGGGCCACTGGAGGGTTTGAGCCAAGGACTGATGATGTATCATCATCTTCCTACAATGCAGTGAATCAGTACTGAAAACACTGTCAGCATATAAAACACTGACCTCCCATAGTTCCCACATAGTTAGAAGAGACCTGAGTTTTTAAATTGGCAAATATCATTCTAATGGGGTTCCACGATTTCCCTGAATTTTACAGTGAAAGAAATTTAGAAAGAAGTATTTCAGAATTAATATAGCTATTTACAGGACAAAAAAATATGGATTTCATGGAGGAATGGCAAGGAATAATTTAGTGTTATAATAGATTTAAAATATTTGCATGTCACTTAATCTATGGTCATGAATCTATTTCCAAGTGCTTATTTATAGCCATAAATATTTTAGTTCATTATCAAACTGACACTTCGCTGAGATTCTTCGGACATGTGGCTGAATTCATGTATTTTATCATTTTAATATGATATTTAATATTAATTCATGTACTTTATCATTTTAACACAACTGGATTAAAGATAGTGATTTAAAATATGGAATATAAAACTAAGTTCCATTGTTTGTTTACTTCTCCCCTTTTTTCTTCGCTATTAAGAAATTGATTTGATTTGGGAACATATTGTCATGTTCAGCCTTGACTTATATTCAGGAAAAAAGATCCTTAGCCTGAACAACTCAAATATTTTCTTGTCTGCCTTGCATGGACCCTGGCACTTAGACAATAGCAAAATTCGATTGTGTAAAGTATAAATTTGGGAAAAACATCAAACTCTAGAGACTCTCCTAGAAGTATAGTGCAGAAGCCACTTTCACATGTTTCTTATATTAGTTTTTCCATATACTTCAAAGTATTAATCATAACCCAATGACTACTCAAAAACTACATGTAATCAAAATTTATAGTACACTCTACAGTTTAAAATACCAATATCACTGGTTTTCTACTTCACAGAAAAAAATCACTCAACTTCTTCTAGCATTTAATCTTCTAGACTCATAACACTCCTGGGAGTTTTAGAGACTACCTGGCCCTACCCTTCATTTAAAATAGAGACATTTAGTCAGAGAATCTAAAGGGCATGCTCTTCATTTCACAGCTAGTAAACAGAGTTTGTACTGAAGCTTTTGGACACATCACTGCATTAGGAGAAAAACTTCTTACCAGAGTGAAAGAAAACACTTCTCATTTTAGGTAGAAGTGGTCCTCTACAGTCACTGAAATGCATGAAGCAGATTTTCCTTATAAAACTGAGGTGATAGGATTTTGAAGATGTGCATCTGAAGGATTAGAGAGGAGAAAGTAAAAATCCAAATGATTCATAAGGAGTAAAGAGTGAATCTTGGAAGTGGTTAAATCTGGTAACCAAACTGGAAATTCCTTGATGACTCAGGGCCTACTATTCATCTGTGCTTGGAAAATTGGTAGAGAATTGAAGGTTTGCCTCAGACAGGAAATGGAACTTAGTGGGTAGTTAAGTAGTAGGAGACAGCTTTGCAAGATGAAGAATTAAAAAGTCTTCATGTCAGGAAGCTGACATAAAGCCTTTAGTCTCCAAGAAAAAGATCATCCACTCTGGAAACCTTATTTCCATAGGTGGGATGAAGTTGAGATGCTAGCCCAGAAAATAGGTGAAGGAATTAGGTGTTAACAAAGAGGGGAAACCTCTCATGCAGGACTAAGATGAAGGTATATTTTGGAGCAATTCCTATCGGATCTTAAATTAATTGTTGAAATTAGACAAATTATCTTATAATAAAATCAAATGTAGTGATTTTCAAGTGGAGCACATCTTACATCAAGGATATGTGTGCTATATTTGGTAGTCAAAATTATGAAGTGCTGCGCCATAGGGTTTTAGTAGAAAAAAGCCAGGGTTCCTAAATACTTTGCAATATGGAGAAAACAAACAATTATCCCATCCAAAATGCAATCAATGTCTCATTGAAAAACAATGATGCAACTCAAAGGAGGTCTTTGTGGGGAAAATTGTATCTCTAGTGCCCAGTCCAGAGGCAAACAAGTTACTCAAATTATCTTGAATGAAACCAAAAAGAACCTATACTCTATAACTGAATTCATTTCTATATGTTTATATATTTGTTTTTCATTAATATTTGGTTAAGTGTTAATAAAAACTGGAATACTTCCTTTAAATTAGTCAAATGTTTTCTAATCTGAAATACGAGTACAAGGTTCTTGTTCATTTCAGACAAGGGTAGTGTCAAGTCAAAACCAGCAGTTCTGTAAAGTAGGAGTAGTAGACATGGCAATATCATGAAGTGATGAGGGGTATTGTGACTGCTGATATCCTAGCACTTTCCTCCGATTAAATCCAAAGGTACAGAGAATTCAGTACCAATGTGTCTTGTTCTGAGTATCTCATGGTGGTGTTTAATGTATAAGGAGAGCTGGAAGAGTTGTGTGGAGACTAGTTAAAAAAACAATCTGAATCCAAACGAGTGCTCAGATATGTTTATCTCTATTCTGAAAACTAACTTGATCTGAAGCAGATAGCTTCAATCAGTCAAAGAGCTCCTTTGTGTGGTTCTATTTGCCCAAAGTGTTGCTTTAGAAGTCAGGATGAAATAAGGAGGTCACTAGCTGTCCCATCACCTTTGGAAACTTACAGCATGATCTTATGACTCATAACAAGCCTTTTTGTTTTTGTTTTTGTTTTTGTTTTTTGAGAAGGAGTCACTCTGTTGCCCAGGATGGAATGCAGTGGTGTGATCTTGGCTCACCGCAACTTCCACCTCCCAGGTTCAAGCAATTCTCCTGCCTCAGCCTCCGAGCAGCTGGGATTACAGGTGCCCACCACCACTTTTTTCTTTTTCAGTCAGTAAATTATCCCATCATGCTGCCAGCCCAAGATAATATATGAAGAAAAAAAGGTGGAAACAACAGACATGTTTATATATTCAGAAAAGAAAAGGAGATTATGCTTTGCTTTCATAATTAAAACTGAATGTCACATTTGCATGTAATATGTTTTTAATTTTATGGTTTTTATTCTTGTTCCACCAATTTATTGATAAAAAGTATCAACCTCACAGAAAGTATTTAGATGCATTTTCGTATCTATAACCTCATTGTACATGTCATTTTCTTATGGGTCTTCTGGAAAATTTTCAAAAATGCTTGTGCTACCAAAAATGAAATGCTATGTTAAAGCAGGGAGTAAAATCCCTTACTGTAATGTGTGCACTTACACTATTTAACTTTTGTTGACCTTATCAAAGACTTTGGAATAAATTCAAAGTAGATGTTGCTTACAGTTTATATGAATAACTAATGATATAGCTATAAAGTAGTTTGTCAAAAATTATAGGTATTACGTCTTTAAAGATATGATGACCGCTGAGGAGTGACTTGCTTATGCAAAATAAATGAATTCACTCCTTCAAGGCAAGGGCATTTAATTTACTATAAATATCTTCTCAGGTGCTCAAAAAGAATAAACTTCTCATCATTGAGAAATGTTCCCCAAACTTTTTTATAAATATTATCTTCATCTGAGATGTGGGATAAGACAAGTTCTCAACTCCTTCCTCTACAGCCTATGATATATATATATATACACACACACATATATATATCATATATATATGTGAGATATATATATGAGATATATATATCTCCCTATATATCTATATATATCACCTGATATGTGGGATAAGACAAGTTCTCAACTCCTTCCTCTACAGCCTATGAGATATATATATATATCTCATATATACATGTGAGATATATATATGAGATATATATATCTCATGTGAGATATATATATGAGATATATATATCTCATATATATCTATATATCTCTACATATATATCTATATACTGATATATATAGATATCTATATACTGATATATAGATATCTATATACTGATATATATAGATATCTATATATTGATATATATAGATATCAATATATAGATATCTATATATTGATATATATAGATATCTATATATTGATATATATAGATATCTATATATTGATATATATAGATATCTATATATTGATATATATAGATATCTATATATTGATATGTATATAGATATCTATATATTGATATGTATATAGATATCTATATATATAGAGAGAGATAGGTACTTAGGTAGGTAGATAGATATAGGTATATAATATTTATGTTCAGGTAATTCTTCTGACATGGTTACCTGGTTTATTATGAAAAACTGTGGTACGTAGAGAAGAGTTTTAGGGCTTACTCTATACCAGTTATTTTTAACAGAGAAAATCTAATGTATAGAATTATAACTTAAGTATGGAATAACTAAAAAAAAAAAGGAAGTACTAAGGTATATCAGGCATCCCCATGACTACATCTAGGTTCACTGAAGCGCCTCACAGTATATGGCATATAGTCATACTCAGGCTATAATTTACTGCAGAAAAAGGATATGAAGCAAAATCAGCAAAAGGAGAAAAGGTGCATGTATGAAATCAGAAGGAAACCAGTCTTAAGCTTCCAAGCATCTTCTCCCAGTGGAGTCACAAAGAATGTGTTAAATTTTCCCAGCGATGAATTACGACAATCCACATGAAGTGTTTTCTACCAGAGATTCTCATTAGAGACACAGTGCCCAATGTCTTACTGAGGACTGATCATGTAGGCACTCTCTGCCTGTCATTTGCCAAAATTCCAGACTTCAAAGGAGAGCAGGTGCTTGGTATAAACCACAGTTTGCACCAAGTATAAACTGGTATATACTTGGTATAAACTGGTATGCACTTGATATAAACTTGGTATGCACTTGGTATAAACTGTGTTTGCACAGTTTAGGCACAGCCAGCTATTCTTATCAGGGAAAGGTGAGAATCTTCCCAAAATCTTAGTTTCCAGACACCAGCTGGGGCCCAAACTTGCAACAGGACTTTCTGAGGATAGCGGACTCAGGCCTGCTATATTAAATCTTTTCTGTACATAAGGCATCATGGAGGCAGAAATGGCAGGAAACCGTTACAGGAAACACCCCATGCAGTTGAGGAAACAATGAGAAGTTGAGATCACTAAAATTTGGAAATCTTGGAGGAGTGGCCTCCTGGAGTGAAACTCAGACCTCAGAGTAGGGCACGGTGTTCAGCTGGCCATGATGTCTCTGAGTCAGAGAAAGAGACTGGAAGCCGGGATTCAAACCTCCACTGCAGGATGGGTAAGCAGACAGCTGATGCTGGCATCTCTAAGGGATGTTGGATGAACTGGTCCTGCAAATGATGGGAAAAATTCAGTCTAGACAACCTTCTGATTCTAAAACAAACTGCCACTGCCAAAGGAAGAAAGAGTGTGACTGGGGCAATGCTAAGAGGAACAGGGAATCAAGTTAACATGCAAGAAGGAACAAGTCCTTTTTCCAGTTCTTTAGTCTATCTCTAGCATTCTCTTTCGGTAGAGCCTAATGGAGCATTGGGCAAAGAGGATGTGGTTTTCAGAATTTCAGCCCCAGCTGCACTAGTCTAGAAAGGTGGATGTGGAGCTGAGACATTAGCTTAGTAGCTAGAACGGGATTTTGATTTTTCTCAGACCACCCCATGAAAACTTAGAAGGCTTATGAAGGGAATTCATACATTATAAAATTGCAACCAGAACATTTGGGATGATGCTGTGGGTGTATTTGCCATAGCAACACGCACTACTACAATAAAATATAAAAAGTAAGTGACCTGTGAAAAGTAACATGTGTGTACCAAATGAGATAATTGTATCCATCACGTGGCTCCTAAACCATTCCCATGGACAGCTAATTAAAAATAAGCAAGAATCAGAATTATGTCATCTCATCCTGGATGGTGGTGGTCTCCTCCGTATTCTTTTCTATGTTGGGAGGTAGGTATCATAACCATGCAGTGGCCATAGCCAAGTTTAGTAAAATTTTCAGCCTTTAATATCTTACCTGATATTGCTATGTTTTTGAATATTACAGCCTGACCTTTTTTTTTGTAGCAATATGAAGTCCCTTCTACTGTCTTCTACCTTGCTGTCATCCAACTCATGTGACCCCTATTAACTTTAACTTGATTACTGCCACTTCCTATGTGCATGGAAATGCAGTCTTGGTTGCATTCATTCAGTCCAGGTAGCAGTGTGCAAAAAGATATGAAAATAATAACTCCTAATGGTTGCACAACATTTTGAATGTATTTGATACTACTGAATTGTGTGGTTAAAAATAGTTAAGATGGTTGCTGGGGTCTGCTAAAGTCTTTCAAAATTCATGTGCTGAAACTTAATCCCCATTGTGGTGGTATTAAGAGGTGAGCCTTTGGAGAAGTGATTATGTCATGAGGGCTTTGCCCCCATAAATGGATTAGCATCTTATAAAAGGACTGGAGGGAGCTAGCTTAGTTCCTCTTACCCTT
The DNA here is from genome assembly GCF_000001405.40 of Homo sapiens. Classification (NCBI taxonomy): domain Eukaryota; kingdom Metazoa; phylum Chordata; class Mammalia; order Primates; family Hominidae; genus Homo; species Homo sapiens. The sequence continues at coordinate 156,327,784 of NC_000004.12, forward strand.
CCATTTCTTCTGCCATGTGAGAAAACAGCATCTGTGCCCTCCTGAGAATACAGTACCACGGCACCATCTTGGAAGCAGAACAAGCAACTCTCACCAGACACCAGACCTGCTTGTGTCTTGATTTTGGACGTCCCAGACTTCAAAACTGTGCAAAATAAATTTCTATCATGTGTAAACAAAAAAAAAAAAGAAAATAATAACTACCATATATTAATCACTTAGCCTGGGGCAGAAATTTTCAATAGTATTTATACATTATCACGTATAAATCCTGCAGGACAAGTGTTATTTTTCTATTTTATAGAAATGAACACTAAACTGAGGTTCATGGATCTGTAACACCTATATACTTTTTTTGGGGGGTGGGTGGGGATAGAATCTCACTCTGTTGCCCAACCTGAAGTGCAGTGGTGCGTTGTCGCCTCACTGCAATCTCTGCCTCCTGGGTTCAAGCGATTCTCTTGCCTCAGCCCCCCAAGTAGCTGGGATTACAGGTGTGCACCACCACGCCCAGCTAACTTTTGTATTTTTAGTAGAGATGGGGTTTCACCATGTTGGCCAGGCTGGCCTCAAACTCCTGACTTCAGGTGATCCTCCCGCCTCGGCCTCCCAAAGTGCTGGGATTACAGGCGTCAGCCACCATGCCTGGCCTGTATATTCTTTATAACAGGCCACACTGCACCTAGATATCTCTTACTGAAGATCTCATTTTCTTTCTTAAACCTCATACTCAGTCTATCATCACAAATAGAGCCTTGGTTTAGCAGAAAAAGTCTTGGAGTAAGAGCCATAATAGCTAATCTCTGCCCTTTTATCTGTAACTTAATTGGGCTACCATTTTCCTCTCTTAAAGCATTAACATAGATACCTGCTAAGGAAAGCAATGACTTAGAGTGGAAATATTATGAGCCTTGCAATCAGATATACAAAGTTTTAAGTTCAAGTTCCATCTTTATTACCTGAGTAAGCTTAGAAAACTTAGCCAATTTTCTCAACTGCAAAGCAGAAATAATATCTAAGTCACAAGATTACTGTAAGAATTAAAATAGTCTATGTAAAATGCTGACTATACTTCATTTGTTTTGTGAAATTGATTTAACAAATTTCCTGTAAGGTTTTAACTGTATGCTGAAAGCTTCCCATCACTTGTAAATTGCTTTTGACTATTTGGTAAGGAAATAGTTAGATCCCTTTATTTCATGTCTAAATTCTATGAAACATTTTTATAGGTGTTTATTTCTCGTTTCCTTTCTGTTTCATGCGTCCAAGGTCCTGGCCACTAAAAACAAAACAAAACAAACCACATCCATCATATGTACTGTGTTCTTGCCTAGTTTTACTAGCCATTTCACCTCTCTCATTTTCACAGGAGGAGTGGAGATGTTTTATTTTATTTTTAGAGCCAACACTCTAGGTCAAATCTAAAAACAATTTTATATAATTGAACTCTCGCTCACCAAAATTATCCTTTTATTTTAAATCAGCATTTTTCTATTATTACATGCATTAGGGACAGCACGACTTTACTACTATACTTCAGAAGGCAATGAAAATGCATGCTGTGCAAAAAGGACAGCAATGCGAAGCCTTAGTAAAGTGTGAATTATTTCCTAGTTGAAAATCCAGAAGTGCTTCCCATTACGGAAGTAAAAAAACACTTTCAGTGAGGTATATTTAATTGGGCTAAGTCATTTTCCTGGACCAAGTAATTATTACTTATTATTTACATGTATTTATTCTCATCTATGGTCTTTGTTATATTTATCATGAATTTCTTCTTCAACTGAAATTCTGTTTTCACAAGATTAAGTCTCACAGCCTTTTAGAAAGATTTGTTCACCACATAATCAATAGTAATTTTACAAGCAAAGGAAAAATTTGAGTATACAGTTAAGACTTTATAGGGAATGAATTGAATCAGTTCACAAATTAAATAAAAGCTGGCTTTCTCCTGGATTTCATAAAGCTGTTGCATATATACCAATAATAAACAAAAAAATGAAGAATTAAAAGTCTTATAATGTAGATTTATCATTTTCTGTTAGAGATAAAATTAGCAGGCACAAAATCAGTGTTCTATATCAGCATGATAGGATGCTAACAAAATAAAGTCCAAATCTCAATGACTAAACAAACAAAAGCTTGCATCAAATCATATGTGGATAGACCAACTCGGAAGAGGAAGTCTCCTATCTGGATGATTCAGAGACACAAAGTTCCTCATTTTATGACAGTGCTCTCCCAAAACACAGTTCTAGTATGACTACAGCTGGGAAAAAGAGAATATTGAGAGTACAGTACTCACATTTTCAATGTTTAGGTCCATAAATGATGCTCATTGCTTTTGCTCAAATTTCACAGCCTATATCTAGTAACATAACATAGTCTTGTCTAATTGAGAAAGGACATGGTTAGTTAAATCTTTCTCTGTTGCCAGAAGTAATGAACAAACAGATAACAATGAGCATTAGAAACCGCTGCAGTACTCAAAATGTGCTTTTAATTATATTTATTCAGTAAAAGCACACTGAGTGTTTATATGTACCAGGTAGGTATTGAGGATGCTGTGGCGATCAAAATAGACATTTTAAAAATCCTCAAAAAACTTACTGTTCAGAAGTAGATCTACACACGCCAGACTTCCAACAAACAATGTCTCTCAGTCAGTCCATTGGCCTGGTTCATGATCCAAGCAAAATGGCTTTGTGCTTGATCTGGGTGCAAAAATACTCCAATTTTACCTTGAACTACAAAGTTTCTGGACTTTGTACATTCAAATGTAATTTCCGGCCTAAGCAAAGTAACAGAATTGCAGGTGTTTAGCAGCTGGGTGCCCAAGTGTGCACTGTTTCAGCTTGACTTTTTATTATACAAGTGCATGCACAATATTTGCTACTTCTGTACAAGCGGGCAGGGTTCACCAGGTGTTATATTAAATTATTGATTCCTAGTCTAGGTATGCAGCACTGGGTTTACTTTCCTAAAGTCCGCACGTCATTAAGCCTCACAAGAGGAAAGTATGTTGAAATCAAATTTAGAGGCATATGGCTTGCCACAGGCTTCAGTATTACCCTCTCTGCCTGGTCCCATTGCGACACTGGATTGGTTAGTTACAGAGAAGAAAGTAATGTTCGTGAAATCCAGGTTTCATACCTAAGTTTTATTGTTGTTTATTTGTTTATTTTAGGCAAGAAACGATGACACCATGTTCTATACCACAAGCCCAAGAGAGTCTGGAAGCTATTTTTTTTTTTTAAAGAGAATCTTCTCTATACAAAAACATGGAGCTGAATGGGGAAATGGAGATTAAAAGTATTTAATAGATTTAAGTGGGTCTAAATATGCTACAAGGGAAATCAAGACAAACTAACTAAAACTCAGGGAAAATTCAAATAATGATCATTGAAAACAAACAATGATAGCATGATAAATAGCCATAGATTTGAAAGGGTGTGTGGGTGGGAGGGAGAGATTAAAAATGTTGATGTATAGGTACAAACCTATAGGTAGATAGAGGAAATAAATAATAGTGATCAATAGCAGACTACAGTGACTATAGGTAGCAATAATAAATTGCATATTTCAAAGCAGCTAGATGAGAGGATTTGAAATGTTACTAACACATAGAAATGATAAATACTCAAGTTGATGGATACGCTAAATACCCTGACTTGATCTTTATGTATTCTATGCCTGAAAAATACAGATACCCCACACATATGTGAAATATTATGTATCAATAAAAGAAATAGAAGAAAATAAAATAAAAGATAAAAATGTAAAACAGACCCCCAAGCAGAAAGGAAAGCAACATTTGGATAATATCCAAGTGGCTAGTAGAATATATTCAAAAGCAGGCTATTTAAAAAGCCACTCCAGAGGGGGTCACAAATATGCTTAGCCCAGTATGGATGTAGTCTACAGAAAGAAGCCTTTGGTTTTCAATGGGGTCATTTGCCAGGAGGCTGAATCCCTCAGGTGCACATGGTATTTAGTATTCAAGCCATTCCACAGAGTCAGTGACAAGATCAGTGAAATGAAGTCTTTCACCCTAACCATGACATTTCTCTTAAAAATTACCAAACAAGTCATTTGTTTGGTAATGACTTGTTTACCAAATGAATGATGAGACAACGTGAATAAATGTGCAATTGGATATGGCAAATCTAGTCTATGAGGCTCAATATCTAAAAACCATTATACTAATTGATCTCTTGCTCAAAACTATTTATCTCTTGGATAAAATTGCTCATAGGGCATACTGATCATGCAAATCATTCTTCACTACATGAAATCTCAAACAATTCTGGTGCTGCTAATTTGACTTCTGGTAGTCAGCACTCCAAGATTTGATGCAATTATGTAAAGATAAGAACACCACTATTCCAGGATGATAAAGAAGTATTAGAAATGATTCTTCCTGTTATGGAGACTCTAAACCAAAACAAACACACAAAACAAAAAATAATCAAAATAGACATGTTTTATTCAGCATAGGCTGCCATAGCAAAATACTACAGATGGGGTGACTTAAGCAATAGAAATTTATTTCTCACAATTCTGGAGGCTAGAAAGTAGAAAATAAAGCTGCTGGCAAGGCAGTTTTTATTCTAAGGCCTCTTATTTTGGCACACAACTCACTGTATGGTCCCATGTCTTCCTCTTTACATATATGCTGGTGGTTTGTGTGTATGTGGTTTGTGTTTATGTGTGGAAAGAGAGAGAGAGATAGTGCACACAAGCTTTCTGGTGTCTCTTCTTACATGAGTACTAATTTCATTATGATGGCCCCACCTTCATAACCCCATCCAACCATAATCAAAGGCCCAAACTCCAAATACCATCACATTGTGTGTTGTAGTTTCAATGTATGCATTTTAGGGGAACACAAGCATTCAGTTCACAATGAGACTTGTATGAGGATAGGAGTATCACTATTCCAGGAAAATAAACATGCATTAGAAATCATCCCTTTCCTTATGGATCCTGTAACTAACATAAGCTTATGAACAAACACATGAAATAAAAAATAAAATAAGATTTTAAACGATGCTAAAATAGCAGATTGCAAAACATAGTCATTCAAACAGTGAATGAATGAATGGATAAATTTTGAAGGTATATATATATAATGTTTATTAATTTATAAATCTATAATAATCAGTAAAATACATGTATTTTATGATAAACATGAAATATATAGAATATGGTAAATATATATATTTATTTACTTTGATTTTATAGAAAACATATGTGCTATATGACTTTGTGGAAGAAATAAGAGATACATTGAGTCTTACATCACGAAGAGTAGAATTAATGCTAGTTTAGAATCCAAATCAGTTTTATTACCAATATGTATCACAAGTAGAGACATAAGAAAGCATACTATTTAGAAATAGAGATAAAAGATGTTCATAGGGATAAGTATGGATTATAATTATATAGCACTTGAAGTGCTATACAAAACAGTTGTAAGTACAATTGTTTTTATTTGAAGTTCTTTTTAACAGTAAATGCTTCAAGATGTGTTTGCACTTGCAAAGCATTATGCACATGTGAACACGTGGGATTTAAGCTCAACAAGCATTTATATTTGATGATTATATTTGATCATCATTATATTTGATGACTCTTGCAATCCAAACATACCGCTTGAATACAAATTACTAGTCAATAGGTATATAACACATTTTATTAATACATTTCTGTCATTTTTTTATCTGATATGAATAGTGCATGCTGTCTTAGTCTGATTAGGCTGCTATAACGAAATATCTTAGACTAGGCAGTTCGTAAACAACAGAGATTTATTGCTCACAGCTCTGGGAACTGGGGTCATCCAAGATCAAGGCAACCACAGATTCAGTGTCTGGTAAAGACTCTCTCTCTTCTTCAAAGACGTGCCTTCTTGCTGTGTTCCCACATGGTGGAAGTGGCAAACATGCTCCCTCAAGCATGTTTTAAAAAGACTCTAATCCCATCCATGAAGGCAGAGCCCTCATGACCTAATCAACCTCCTAAATGCCTTTTCTTAACCATCACCTTAGAGGTTAGGTTTCAATATATGAATCTGGGGATGTGGGGACACAAACATTCAGACCATAGCCTCTTATTCTGTCTTTAACCAAGATAAAAAGATTCATCCTAAGTAATTATTTTTACATTAGTGCTTTCCACAAGGATTGGATAATAATGACAATGATGATGATTATTGCATTTGCACTTTTTTTGACCAGGTGTTTTATACACTTTATGATAATCTGCCTGTTCTGATCTGAATTATTTCCTCCAAAAACTCACATAATGAAGCATTAACCACTAGCACTTCAGAATGTGCCTGTATTTGGAGACAGGGTCTTTCAAGAAATAATTAAGTTAAAATGAAGTCATTCAGTTGGAAGTTAAATCAATACAACTGATGCCTTTCTAAGAAGATATTATGACACAGACAGGTACAGAGGGAAGACCATGTGAAGGCACAGGAAGAAGCCAGCTACCTGGAAGCCGTGGAGAGAGGCCTCAGAAGAAACCAACCTTGTGGACACCCTGACCTCAGACTTCCAGCCTCCAGAACTGTGAGGAAATACATTTCTGTTGTTTAACTCACCTAGCCTTTGATACACTGTATAGTAGCCCTAATATGCTGATATACTACCCAACACCATTTATAATGTAAAACAAAAACAAAACCCACAAGATTCAGAAGGATTGATTTATTTGCTGAAGGCTAAGTTTGGTTTTATTTACCATTGTTTACACTTTATGGCAAACAATTTAAGAAAAGATAAGCTTATTTTTCTTTCTTGAATTTTTCACTGAAGGTCAGTTGGGTTGTGTTCAATCTAATTTCTTAGTTGGAAAGACTGTATCTTGTCTTGTTAAATTGAACTGATTAAAGCAAGTGCATAACAATAGGCAAGAAGATACTAGAAAGTTTAAGAGAATCACTCAAGCAAATTCCCACATAATGTGTCATCCTCCCATACCTTAGAGAAATTTCAAAGCAAAAATAAACTCGTGGCTTTTTATAAAGCAATGCATGCAAGAAAAGCTTCTACTAATTTAAATAAGTATTTATTTTGCTGTCAGCTATAAATAAATGCATTTCTTTTTTCCTATAAAATTGAAAAGGAGCACGATAATACAAAGTGAATCAGCTTTTTTTTGCCAGTAAAATAGGTTAAATATATCTTTTTAAAATCAAGTGAATATATATTATTTCTTAGTTATGGTCGCTTCCTTTCTTCAACTTTCAGCATCTCTTAAGTTCTCTTTTCAGGAGAACTATAGTATAGCCTAAAGTTGGAATGTCTCTTCCAAAACTCATATTGAAACTCAGTCTTCAATGTGGCAGTATTTAGAAGTGGGGCCTTTAAAAGATGATTGAATCATGATGGCTCTCCCTTCATGGATGGATTTATTCATTTGTTGATTAATGGATTAATGGGTTAAGAGGTTAACATGCTGTCATGGGAGCGGGTCTAGTGGCTTTACCAGAAGGGGAAGAGAAACCTGATCTAGCATATTAGAATGCTAGGCTCCCTTTCCCTGTGATAACTTGTGCCACCTTAGGACTCTTCGAAGAGTCTACACCAGCAAGAAGGCTCTCACCAGACTTGGCCCTTAGACCTTGGACTTCTCAGCTTACAGAACTATAAGAAATACATTTTGTTTGTTTGTGAATTACCTGGTTTCAGGTATTCTGTTATAAGCCACAGACATGGACTTTACCCTACTTAATAAGTTTGACAGTGTGGAATGGAGCTAGATTGCCAGCCAAAATATCTATACAAGTTCATAAATTTGCCTGTCACAGTTCCACAGATGCTCACAGAAGACATGAGACTCCTGGTTAGAAATAAAGGATTCTGTTACTCTCAATAAAAGCAGTGGCAAGAGTTTCGGTACTGTTCAGCTGGGTCTCTGCGTCTCACGTCTCACACGGAGACACAGGAGGCCAGGTAGAGCTTCCATGTGCTGTGGGATGTGCCATAAGAGAAGAACTTAGGGAATCCATCACTTCATACTAAGTAGTAAACAAACCTATTATTTTTATAGAGAAAAATTTGGTTTAACTCAGAATTATGTAATGCATTCCTGCAATGCATTTCTTCAGATCTCAAAATTGCCAGCTGCATAAACAATACTAAGTGGCTTGGGCAAAAGACAAATCAGTCTTGTGCTTTTGCATACTTGTCAAGATATATAAGAAAGCAAGAGACCCAGAGAAAACTTCCTCTCATCAGTAGGTGTTTAAATGTCATTTTATTTATTTAAAGATAGGTAGAGAGATATGTTAGATAATTTTGGTCCATGCATTATTTACATTTATTGTATACAACAACAAAACTATAAGAAAGGAACTGTGATCATTGACCATTTTCAAAAAATGTTTTAAAAACATTAAGTGATTAGGTGAATTGCTCAAGCAGAGTGGTAGAACCATGGTTCTGAGTGAATGCAGAGATTTTCTCAAACTGCTCCAGGGACAGAAGTGAATCAGTAAAAATTACCTTAAGTAAATCAATAAAAAATAATTTCCCTCAGCTCTGTTGTGAATTCAGTACAAGAGTCTTAGTTGTATGGTAGATGCACTTATTGAGATGTTAATTTGCTTAAAAGATTGAGAGCTATCTGTGTTTAATTCTCTACATGTTTCCTCTTCTAAGTCAAGAAAGCTAGTCCTTTATTACTTGTTTCTGTGATTTTGTAGCCCATCTTCAAAACATTAGTTGTCTAAAGACAATGCATCTTTTGGTCTCGGTGGGGAGGACCTTGAAATTAGAAGAAGTTGAGTAGCAGGGAAAGAGTGAAGGAAAGAGATATATGCTTTGAGATGAGGGAGCAAGAGAAAATGTAGATGATGGATATTAGTGGCCTCCCTAGGAAATGGCAGGATCTGTGACATATGTGAAGTGGAATTTGTGGTGGAAGTTGTGGCTAGGGTGTGTGGCATGTTTTTAGCTGAGCTTGTATATTCAATCATGGGAATGTAACTACTGAGCTTAGTAGCAGTAAGTACTAAGTTCTAAAAGCCTCCTAAAATTTTCCTTCTGTTTAAGAACAATGTTACTTTTGCACCAAAGAAAGTAGACTGGGATGATTGAGACTGTCTACAGTCTAACCAAATAAAATTCAAGCTAAATCTAGCCTAGTTGAAATAAAATAATACAATTTTTCTTGAATGCTGGTGTGTCAACAAGTGACGTTGTGCAACATATAAAATGCCCCAAATAAATGACCAACCAAAAGTATTTGACTTAAACTGAATTAAACTTGAATGGAATTGAATGTGTTCAGTATCTGGAGTTTGAACTATTTCCTGAAGGGGTCATGCTATCATTATTTAGAGATATTTAATTAGCACTACTGGTATTTACCTAGTAGAAATGTACCTGCCTACTTCTTTGGGGAGCAAAGATAAATCATAGATGAGAGCCTGGTAGAAACTGAAGGAACTATAAAGAACATCAAATATAATTTTTCTTTTATTTTAATATTAAGAAAGATTTAAATATTACACAACCTAATAACAAAACAATAATATGAAATAATGTCTTAAACCTAAATTACAGCAATAAAACCCAGACATAAAAAAGGATATACTCTTTTACTCCAATTTAATGGGAACCCAACACAGGTTGAAGGTATTGGTTATGCTGGAAATCAGATTAATAGCAGCCCCCTTTAAGGAGCGCTAGGGAGATACAAGCAGACCTTCTAGGATCTGGTTAAGGCCCATTCTTAAATTCTGTGTGTTGAGTATGTGATTATGTTCAGTTTGTGAAAATTCATCAAACTGTATATCTATGCCATTTGCAGTTTGAGATTTGTATGGTTTACTTCATTTCCAAGTAAGAAAAAAAAAAGAAATTTAAATTAGTTGCCTAAAATAAATTAAGTCATCTGAATCCTAGTTGAATTTTCTTTACAGTGCACAATTCTGTTTTTGTATTGTATATTATAAACCTATATCTGTAAAATAATAGAAATAACTTAAATATGGCAAAGCTTTAGACAAAATGAAGTTCTAATCAAATATATTTTCAAATAATTTTATATATTGCCCCGAAGTCAGTCCTTTCTTGATACTAATTTCAAAAGTTATAAATGATATAATGAAAATAAATATTGTAACCTGAAAAGTTAATATTTCTTTTTGCGTAATCTCATTAGCTCTGTCCAGGTAGAATAATGGGGAATCTCAAAACACAATGGAGTGTGTATTAAATGCAAAATTCCATCTAGGGGCCAAATTAGGCACCTATAATAAACCAATTGCCTACATCTAGCCTACTCTATACAAATATCATAATTCTCTAGATATTTATGTGAAATTACAGACAATATATCAAATGACAAGCAATAAACGCATATAATTATTTAAGTATATAATTAAATTCCTTGTACACATTTTATGTAATGTTAACTGTCCTTGGAGACCTCAGAAGTTTGTCAGATGTGTTGGTTTACTGCAAGACAGCCACATTTAATTATCTGAGGGAAAGTATAACACAGTAGAAAAATATAGCTGGTTTTGCTTCAATCAATCCAAAGAAAGGGAATTATTATAGTACGGTTTTTGAATGATGTGCTTTATTTCACACACTAACCAGAGGCAATAGAAGCATCTGTCCCAGCAGAAGCCTAGAGACACCAGGATATTTCCTTGTTCATTCATAACTGGTACTTTCTTTTTCAGTCTTAACTGTATAAATGTTGCCAAAATATATTTATGCCAGTGTATCTTAATATAAATATTGAACTGATGTATTTTTATTGTCGATATAAATTTATATCTTCATATAAATATCAAACTTATGTATTCTTATTGTTGAAAGAATTATAACTCTTACAAAAATTTGTTTGAGTACGGTAGCTTCAATATTTTATGCAAATACCTTTCATGACAGAACCTATGATACCAGAATCTAAGAATTTCATTAAACAGACATCAGCTAAGGAACTCTTGATATAGTGAGCTCTGAGCCATTTTGCTTTGGTCTCCTTGGCAGGTGTTATCTAATTTCAGAAAATCATAAGAAATTTAATAAGTTAGTTAAGAGGCCATTAATGATACAAAAATATCAGAAATCAAAAATGTATTAAGATTTATCATGACAATTAAGTGAAGAGTGCTTTTCTTTTAATTAGAGAAAGGATTATTCACCAAAAATGACTAATGGTAGAACAGTCTAAAACCCTCATTTGCCACATGAAAAAACTTAGGTCCATCGCAGCTAAGATGATTAAGAGACATTTTCAAGGCATACTGTTTCACTGATAGCTATGCTAAGTTTGGAACTCCACTTTCTGTTTCTTGACCATTACCCCTTTCCTTCCTTCCCTTCCTTCCTTCCTTCCTTCCTCTCTCTTTCAGATTTATTGGGATATAATTCACATGCCATACAATTTGCTCACTTAAAGTGTACAACGTGGGATTCTGCAACCATCATCCGAATCTAATTTTAGAATATTTCTGTTTCCCCTTTAAAAGAAACCCATACCCATCAGCTGTTAATTTGACATTCTAGCACGTCTTTTGGAAAACGTGTGTATACACTTCTTTAGGGTATCTACCTAGAATAGAATTTCTAGATCAAAGCTTTGCATGTGTGCAGCTTCAGTAGGCAGTGTGAAACAGTTTTTCAAAGTGACTGTACTGAGTTATGTGTCTATCAGAGCATAAGAGTCGCATTTGTTACACATTCTCATTAACATTCGATATTTGCAATGCATTTCATTTTAGCCATTCTAATAGTATGTGGCAGTATTAAATTTTGGATTTAATCTTCTATTCTTTGATAACTAATGAAGTTGAATGCATTTTTATGTATTTCTTGACCATTTAGATTTTCTCTTTTGAGAATCATCTGTTCAAGTCTTTTGTTTGTTTTTCTATTAAGTTGTCTAATATTTCTATCTTCCTTAATACCAAAAAGAGAAGGAATTCCAAATAAGATCACATTTTGTGGTACTGAGGGTCAGGACTTTAAATATAATATTTGAGGGCACATGATTCAATCCATAACATCATCTGTTGAAAACAACTACAAATGTTCGATAAAATATTTTTTAAATGCTGTCTTTAAATGAGCTATACGTAGACTAACAAATAAGAGGAATCTATCTAAAGGAAAGTTTCAATTCAGAGAGGTAAATAATCTCTCAGAGCAGCCAAGAAACTTTTCCCATAGTGGCATTTACTAATTAGGCAAACTTGGGCTTTGGAATTTAAGCTTCTGAAGAAAAGAAGGATAAAGTAAAGACCCAAAGCTCACCTCAAGTGGTATGTCTCATAAAAATTTTACCCACTGTAGACTGTGATCCAAAATACTATACTTCCTAGGACACCACTTAGAAAGTTGTCTTGTCAATGAAAGAGCAAGAAAAGTAAGCAAAGGAAAAACATCGATAACAGAATCAGTCATGAGTTTTGCATAAGTTTACAGCCTGGGTTTACATGACCTGCATTGTACATGAAACCTTAAGTCACAATGTTGGTTTTTGATGGTTTTGACTTGGTAGTGCCTATAGGACTGGCAAAAGCAAACACAAATTCTTTGTAACAAAAGATACCTTTATTCTAGGCCTCCAAAAATCTGTTAAAAACATTTTTAACAACAGTAAGAAGTACCCATCAGAATTAGCCAAATATAAAAAGAAATCAGACCAAAAAAGCCCAAACGAGCAAAAATAACAGAAGGCAGAAATGGACTCAGACAAACTTCAGATATCTGCAATTATCAGAGACAGATTATAAAACAACTACATTTACAATGGGTAAGGAATTATAAATAAGGTTGAAAATATCTCAGAGACACAAAATTATTAAATGTAGCCTAATATTTTTTAAAAGCCAAAATGAACATTTAGACATTAAATATAGAAAAACCAAAATCAAAAACTTAATGGAAAGGATTGTCATCAGATCAGACACGGTAGAAGAGGCAAAGTAAACTAGAAGCAGGTTTAGATAAAACTATTTAAAGGGGAGCACAGTGATATATCACTAGATTTGTTTAAATCTGGAAATTTCACATGGTAGCTATAGTGAAGTCTACAGTACATTTAATCAGAATGTAAAGAAGGAAGCAGGGAGACGATGAGGCAAAGTTAATATTTCAAGAGATAATGGCTAAATTTTTCCTGTACTAATAAAAATACCAATTCAGGAGGCCTAACAAATTCTTTTTAGAATAATTTTTAAAAATATTGCATCTAGACACACCTTAGTTAAATTTTAAAACATCAAAACAGGAAAGGCATTGTTAAAATTAACCAAAGAATGAAGAGATGATTCACAAAATTATGCAAGGTAAATTGACAACTGACCCTTTAACAGCAGCACTTGTAAGCTAACAGTTAGTGGAATGTCATCTTCAATGTGCGGCAAAAGAGGACAGAGGACTGGAGTCCTAGAACATGAAATCAAGCAAAAATATCTTCAATAATAAGAATTACATGAATTCACATTCATGCAAAAATCATGTAACCAGTAGACCTCTGGCAGAAAGCTAATGCTTCTGGATAGAAGGTCTGAGAAGAAAGAAAAAAGTGGTGAACATACAGGTAAATCTAAACAAATCATGACTGTACAAACAAAATTAGTGCATTTTAGTGTTAAAAGCTCAAGATAGATTAAAATATCCAATAACAATAACATAAATAGCAGTATTTTAGCCCATGTAATTATCAGGAGAAAGATTGAGCTATCAATAGACTTTTAACTTATGATGGATGTTATTACTTTTATTGTAGCCACAAAAAGAAAAGCAAATAGATTGCACATTCTAAACAGTCGAATATTTATATTTCACGACCTAACAGTTCCATTATTAGGAATATACCCTAGAAAATGAAGTACCTGGGCACAGGACAATAAAAATAGCTCCACATTAAGTAATTCAAACTTTTCTCAATACTCGTTGGTAAAGCAATAACAATGTAGTCTAAAATAAAGTTCTACACAGTATTGAAAATAAAAACTGCAGCTATACACAAAAATATAGATGAATTTTGAATAAAAACAGCAAGACACAGATGTTTTATACCCTTTGGTGCTGTTTTATATAAAGTTCTAAAAAAGACCAAAGCAAGGTACATTGTTCAGAGATGCCTAGACAGATAACAAAACTACAAGGAAAAGGAATGAATTGATTATCATAAAATTGTAATAATAAATATTCCTGGAAAAGAGATATATAGGTTTGTGTTTGGAGCAGGACTCATGATTGACTCCTGAGTTTCTGGCCCTGTTGTATTTGTCGAAATGCTTAATGGTAATATGAGCATGAACTCTACAATTATTCATTAAAGCAGATACTTGTTTGAGTATATGTTATATATCATGGAGAAAGATGATTAAAATAAATGCATTTTGAAGATGCTGAAAACAAATTTTTATAACTAGAGTAACAGGTACAGTCAGGAATTTTGGTGAAGATTTTTTTTTTTTTTTTTTGAGGCAGAGTTTCACTTTGTCACCCAGGCTCTGGTTTCATCTATCATTGACATCTATGAATAATTTTGATAATAAGAGAAAAACTATGAACCAAATTAAATGTGGTTTATTGACAAAAATGCAATTAGCTATGAAGGTAGTGTCTAGAATACGTAAAGGTGAAGAAGTGTTCTTATCAACTTTCAAAGGCAACAATCTCATTCAATACACAAGGGTGACAGACTCCTAGCTGAATCAGTAGTCACACTGTATGAGAACAATCTCAGGTTATTTATCCATAGCTGTGTCTATACTAACTTGGGGTAACTTGAGCCTTAGGAAAACAGTATACAAGAAAATAATATTTGGTTAAACTCCCTCTTTGGAGAATGTCATTTATATTTCTTCTGGCAAATAGAATAAAGTTTTGATGTTTAGAGTAGATGTGTTGAAGAAAATATATTGTATACTGAATAATAAGCTTTTTATAGCATTAAAAATAGCCATAGCCAGAAAGTGATAATGATGCTCTCTTTTAGTTCATGTATGATTAAAATATTTCTTCAGTTTTGAGTTGCAAGTGATAGCTTTTGCTTAAGGCTCTTTTTCATTAAAAATATGGAGCTGTAATTTGGCAAATGATTTCTTCACATTCACTATAATTAAAGTGTGTAAATTCTAAAAAAGGAAAGCAAAAAACTTTAGAGAAAAGTTATGTTTCAGATATGTAAAAGTTTATTCCACATATTTATTTCAGAGTGTTATGTTTCTCTAATGAATTACTTTTCTTCTTTTGAAGGCATAAAAGTTCACAACTACAGAATGTGTTAGATAGATTCCCTCCAACTTCTTGTGGTACAGCCACAAATGAAGAAAAGATAAATGTGTAAAATGAGATAAATTACTTATTTTATATCAATGTTCCAATATACTTTTACTCCTCTTTCATACTTAAGTGTATGTTTTTGCCTTTGGAGATATAAAACTTATAATCTTTCCAAAATAAACACAATTTTATTTTGTTGAAAATGGAAACTCCAATCTGTTTCTTATTAAAGTATACACTTGAGCAAACTCATTTTGTTAAGAACTAGGAATACACTTGTTCACGCTTCCTTTTTCAAATATGAAAAGATTTTTAAAGATATGTATTTTGAGACTGGATAAGACTGAAGCCCAACTTTGTCTTCATTCACTGTCATTCTCTTGTATATATTTGTATGACCTTACACTGCAGTAGTCCCCAACAGAACTGGCAAAGGTCAACTAAAAATATACTATGATTTGGATATTTATCTTTTAGTAATTTTTTAAATAGTTTTTGCTTATTAACTTTTACCCAGTATATTCAGGTCAGACCACTTGGTTGAAACAAAGAGATAAAGGTACCACTGCAGATAATTCAAGTGATCATATTGGATAATACAGGTAATTGAGGCAAAAGTTCATGGGTTATTCTGCAAATTGCCTTAATTCCTTGAATTATTTGGCCTCGGATATGTGACTTAGGTGCTACCATTAAACTCTGTTGAAAAAATGCCTATTTTCTTACAGTAAAAGCACAAATAATTTAGCAGGGGTTTTTTTGGTATTTGTTTTAATACTTCAGTGGGATTCTTAGAAGCTTCCCAGCAGTGATAGTAATGTGAAAGTGGAGGTGGAACAAATGGAGCTAAAGTGGTAGCAATAACAAATAGTGCACTTTTGCTGCCTTTTTGCATGAAAAAATGCATAATATGTATTTTTTGTTTTCTCATCCTTATTAAATCTTAGTACATTTAGGACTTTCCACAGTTGAAATAACATGAACCTAATTTTACTCCTTAGGTCAGACACCAGACTGGACTATCCACACAGAAAATAACCTATACTACCAGGGAAGTGAGCTTGGAGAAAGAAGGCATGTAGAAAATGGCTTGAAGGAATTATTTTTCCTCTGCCTCTGGGAAGAGTGATTTGCTTTTTTCTCTCTCTCTCTTCTATAAAGGTACAAGAGAAAATAAAATGATTGTACCTTGAGGGGAAAAAATGGGGTGATTCTTTTTAAAGATTCAGTTGGAGCCAGAAAATGACACACTTGATGCTGAGGAAACTCCAAGTAAAATATTTTGGCTGTGATTACTGTTATCAAGGAAGAACAGGAGGAAAGCTACTACCACAAAGTGATTAAAGAGACAAATCTCTGGCCTCCTATGTGTACCTGGGCACAAGAATTCTCCAGATGTCCTCTCCGAATTGCCAGGGAGGTGAAACATATTTAAAAGGCATGCATTTTGCAGGACTTTTGGGTTTTCCAGGCAGTATCACACACAGTTAACATGTTTTGCTGATTTCTGTTATGCAGAAATGTTTGCTATACTTTTGCTTTTCATTCTTAAAATAGGAAAGTGCTGGGCTGTTCAGGAAGTTATTTTTTGCATTCTCAAAACTTCAGGGCTAAAATTAATGACAACATGTAAGCACTAAGAATTAACTGAGAAATATTTATCCATTTGTGCTGAGAGGTAACTTGCCTTGTTAGTTCTTATGAAATGCATTGAACACCAAGATGGAGATGTTTGATTCTAGCAAATGATCATGCTGATCTGCTCTGATCTTTATATCTTTTCTTTATGTCTTATAATTCTTAATATCTTCTCTCTACATATTAACTTTGAATGAGTGATAACTTAAATAATTTACTTTAGGAAGAAACACCCTATCTCTTGCTTTGAATAAAATCCCAGTGAATGTGATCTGCACTACCCAAAATATTCTGGTTATCTCTCAACCTGGGTTTTTCTGGAGAGATGGCAGCCTCACCACCAGGCCTACCCCTAAATTTTGCAGGGCCCAAAATAAATTTGCATATGAAAGCCCATATATGTCATGTCTAAATATTTAAATATTATAAGTAAAGGTCATTATCTGCTAAATAAAATATATTTTATACTCATACTTTGACAAATATACCTTCATTAAAAAAATACCCAAAAGTGTGAACTAAGGTTTATTGAAGTCTTGAGAGGGAGGGAGTCAAGGGGTGAACAACTAGCTATTGGATATTATGTTCACTACTTGAGTGATGGGATCATTAGAAGCTCAAACCTCAGCATCATGCAATGTACTCATGTAGCAAACATGCATATCTACCCCATGAATCTAACATTTTTTTTAAAAATAATATACATTCAGATTATTTTTAAAAAAAGAAGACTGCAGTTAAGTATTAGTATACATAGCTATGTATACTATTGATAAGCCAACAACGGTATGATTAGAAATAAAATAACAATATTCACAAGTTATGTGTTTATTTCATGTTATTTTTATTTCCCACATGTACACAAAATTACTGATATTAGTCAAGATTTTTACATAATCCATGTTTTATTAGAATTGATCTGGGTATTCAGCAACAAAATATAATGAAGGCATAATTAAAGATGCAAATTACACAAAATTTATAAACAAAAAATGTAGTTACTTTCATTTCTTTTCAAAAGGTTATTTTTATTCTAAAATGTTAAATATTACCTATCAAAACTAAGTGGAAAAATACGAGTTCCAAGTATAAGTTATAATATTAAAAATTTAATTCAAGATAATTTAAACTTAACTGACTTTCATTTTTGAAAATGTAATTAAAGCATTTAAAATAGAAAATAAAACTATGCTCTATTATAGCAAAGATTGGTTCACGTGAGAATATTTAATTAACGCTAAACCTAGTTTCAATGAAGAGTAGGATATTTGCATCATCTTAAATTGTCCTTTCACAGATTGCTTAATTTTTGCATAAGAAAAATATAACTTTAAGATGGAGAAATTGGAAAAATCCCTAGACTTGGTGATCAAGATAAACATTACCAGTGAGACTCAGTTAGATGCTGTGTGCCACTGTGATGATCTGAAAGGGACAGTCTATATGTACTATTCTATCAGGGAATGCATACATTGAATCTCTCCATGGGACAACATCACACAAACGCAATGAGGCACGTTCTATTTACAAAATGAAGCAGGTTGTATTCTTAAAAAATGCCTATCTAGTAAGAGACAAAGGTTTATGGAAAGTTATCAGATCTAAAATGATGAAAGACTCATGGCAATAAAACACACATGATCCTACATTAGATACCATACAAGTTCTATTTTCAACTTCCTTTTTCTCTCTTTTCTCCTGTTAATTTCATTCCATGTATGTTGATGCACTTAATTGCTTCCCATGTTACTCTGAGGCTCTGTTCATTTTTCTGCATTATTTTTTTCTCTTTGTTCTTCAGATTGCATAAACTCTATCAATATATCTTCAAATTAGCTGATTTTTTTCTTCTGAAGTTGAAATATACTATTGAGTCTCTCTAGTGCATTTTAAATTTTCATTATTACACTCTTTAATTCCAAAATTTATATTTTGTTCTTTTTCACAATTTTTATCACTTTACTTAAATTTTCTTATTTCATGAGACATTGTCATACTTTTTTTTCAATAGGCTTTCTATAGTTCTTTGAATATATTTATAATGGCTGTTTTGAAGTCTTTGTCTACTAAGTTTGATACCTGGGCCCTCTTGTAGACAAGTGTCTCTTATCTTTTTTCTTTTTCTTGTATACGGGTCATACTTTTCTGTTTCTTTCCATGTCTTATAGTTTTTTTTCCTTAAGAAGTGGGTATTTTTAAAACATATTGTTACAATTCTGTTGACTGATTCTCCCACTCTCAGGGCTTGTTTTATTATTTATTTGTTTAGTGACTTGGCTAGAGAATTTTTAAGTTAGTTTCCTCTTCAGTGTGAAGCCTCTGTTGTTGCTCCTAGGGGGCTCAACTCTGGGGATATGCAGGATTAGTGTGGAATGTCATTGATTTTAGCTTTAGTAGGTTTGTTTTTATTTTTCTTTTGCCTAACCTTTCTGTTATGCTCTCTCTCTCTGTGAATTTCACACCTAGTTGTTGAACTCCACTGATTGGTGGCTGATTGCCCTATTGTTTTTGAAAATGTCCTGGGGCATAAATTGTTCCAGAGCCTGATCCAATTAAATTTAAGTCCTTTGCAGGAGTAGTTTTCCAGTTCCCTCCTTGAGGTTTGTTCTAACAGAACAGAGCTATTCTTAGGTGTTCACCCTGATAAACTGAGTGATCTACAGTTTGGCTGTTACTCTTATATAGCTACTAGCCACTTCTTAATAGCTTACCACAAAAATATCCATTGTTTTGGGGAGCTCCCTTAAATTTGAACTTCCCTGCAATCTGTTCAATTGAATTTAGTATTTTGAGAAAGCTTTGAAGTCCTCTCTTCTTGTGGTCTCTCTGTTCCCCCAGGTCAAATCTCTAAGCCACTGCTAATGAACTGGGGGCAAGAATAGTGACTCACTACTCTTAGAGTAGCATTCCTATTCTATGAGTGGGATGCAGGCTTTGGACAGTGACCTCTGGTCCTGTAAAATTGTCTTTCCCATTATGGAGCCTCCTATCAGTGAGGTGTGGCAAAGGTAATGAGGTATTACCTCATTACCTGTATTATTGTATTATTGGCCTGCCACATCTGTATTATTAAATAATATTCTGATTCATGAGTCAAGGCTGGGTGGAAAAAAGAAGCCCTTGCTGTCTTGGCTTCACTCATCTAGAATTTAGTGTCTGTAACAACTAGCTAGAGGGAGTGAGAAATGAGAAATGCTGGCTCAGTGCCCCTCCCAGAGAAATATCATAGCCATTGACAGGGAGCTGGGAGAAGAGGTAGCCCATTTCCTTGGCCACATGCACTCCAAGTGGAACTTCCATTAGTTTAAACTGTGTGTGTGTGTAAGGTAGAAGAAGTGGGTTGTGGCTCAAGTATCACTGGATATTCTTACTGTTACCAGTAGGGATCCAAATCCAGACTCCAAGAGAGGTTTCTTGGATCTTGAGCAAGAAAGAATTTTGGATAAGTTCATAAAGTGAAAGCAAGTTTATTAAAGAAGTAAAGAAATTAAAGAATGGCTACTCCATAGGTATAGTTATTTTTTGACTATATGCTAAACAAAGGCTGGATTATTTATGAGTTTTCTGGGAAAGAGGCAGGAAATTCCAGAACTGAGGGTCCGCCCCTATTTGGACTACATAGGATAACTTCTGGACATTGTCATTGCATTTGTAAACTGTCATGGCATTGGTGGGAGTGTCTTTTAGCATGTTAATGCATTATAATTAATATATAATGAGTAGTGAGGACTTCCAGAGGCCACTGTCATCTCCATCTTGGTTTTGGTAGGTTTTGACCAGCTTCTTTATCACACCCTGTTTTATCAACAGGGTGTTTATGACCTGTTATCTTGTAATACAATTCTTGCCAACCTCCTATCTCGTTCGTGACTAAGAATCCCTAACCTCCTGGGAATAGAGCCCAGTAAGTCTCAGTCTCATTTTACCCAGCCCCTATTCAAGATGGAGTAGCTCTTGTTTGAACACCTCTGACATTACCAAAATTTAGTTGATTTTCTTAAGTAAATGTTTCTTCATTTGTTGTATGCCCTTAGGAAAATTGCCAGAAACTTAAAATGGTGACTTTTTAAAATATAAATTTTCATGTGTTATACTTTCTCAAGTTGTGGCTGTTTCTTGGGGGCACTGGGCCACAGAACTCCTCATGCCACAATTCGAAAAGTAAAATTACATCAGATCTTTTTTATATCAAACATGTGTTTTGATAACTTAATATTTAATTTTTCCATGTATTCATTTAACCATTCAGTAGATATTTTAGGGAAATAATTGAGAATGGTTCTAAATGAGGGACTACCCATGACAGAAAAATTATCAATATCTGAATCCACCTAAGCATATATAATGTTTTCATAAGATAGCAAGTAAATAATATTTAGGAAATCATTTCTCATTAATATAATCCCACTCAAATTACTGTTAGCATAAGGAAAAATTCCTAGGAAGTACAGAATGGAGGTTAAGAACAGAGATATTGTCGTAAGAGTCTGTTTTGAATTCAGGTCTAGTACTTAATGGCAAGTTAGTAGACCTTTCCCTACCTCTGTTACCCTATTGGTAAAAAAAGATAATTGTGAGTTAAAAGTATGGCAAAAGCCACAATTACTTTTGCACCAACCTAATAATATATACAAAAATCTTCTAGAGTAGTTACTGGCATAAAGTAATTTTTATATGAATGTTTTCTATTTTAAAAATAATAATGAAAATTACATTGAATACATGGATGGAATTCAATTCATGTATACAAAATTACTCCACATGCATGGCAATTAATTATATTAAGTCTATCTACTGTAGCTGTCCTTAATAAATCAATTAAAAAGATATGACTTTTTTTAAGGAGTAGTAATTTTATGTAATCTCAAGAAGCAGGTAATTGTAAAGGAAAGTTAATTTGAGAAACTGTTCTATTGTCTTTAATATATCCATATTTTTAAAAATCTATAATTAACATAATTTTAGTGAAGTCAAATAGATTGTATGGTCTATGAAAATAAGTTAAATTAACCCAGAAAGTTTCTACATTTTAGGTATTATATTTCAATTTTAAGAAATTCCGTTATATTTTTTTAAAATGCATTTAGAATCTGCAATATTTATTCTTCACATACTGTGTTTTACTGAATCTTTTCAGCCAAGAAGTAACATAATAAAAAAAAATTCAAGCCATATCTATTTCTATAAAATGAATCTGTGTAGTTCTCCATTGTTGCACAGGAGATTGATTATGTGTCTGGACAGTAGGAATCTCATCCGACAAGATTCCTTGAGAAAAAGAACAAACTTGAGATCAAATTGCTATTGGAAAGATTTTAGAAATGTAATCTAGAAACTATGTTTTTTCACTTATATCACAGTTGTGTATTCAGAACAGGCGATATCTTTCCTTTAGATATTCTTTCTTTCCTAGGGTCACATATGATAAAAATCTAGGAGAGTAATAAAGTTAAGTAAAACAAAGAACTACAGTTGTGTTGAATGCTTCTTCTTCTAGGCCTGATTTGAAATGTTTGACAAAGATGTAGAGGTAGCCTCTCATTGCAGTATTATTTGACCTTAGTTGAACATACTTTCTTTTCTTTGTGAGTTCTCTTTAATGAATTCACCTTTCTAATTAGAAATGCCACTGTCTCACTGTCCCTTGCTTTATTAAACTTTTACATCTTCAAACGCCTTCCTCTGAGACTAATCATTAATTAACTAATGGATCTTTGTTTCATAAAGACTTTAAAGAGATCATAGAGGACCAGACGGATGCATGTACTTTGGAAAAATATTTGTTTAAAGTCTTTAATATGTACTAACAGCTTTTGGTTCATAATAAATGCTCTTTCATTAATAGCTAGCAGAAAGAAGAAATGAAATAGTACTAGAAAAAACCCTATAGAAAGATGATCTTGAGTTGAGAATAAATTCTTCTGAAAACCAGGAAAGTATAAGGCAGTTTAATTTAAAAATCTGGTTTTCACCAACTCAGTGTAAATAAAAACAGGTTTAAAAGGGAGCATTGGCCAAAAGTTGGGAATTTTACTGCTGAGGATAAGCTTAGAGAAAAAGGGCTAAAATTATCTATGTAATATTTTAATGGACACATTAGAGGTTGCTTGCTTTGATATCTTGTTCTTTGTTTTACCTGGTACTTTTTCTTTCTATTGATGTTTAAAATAAAATTAACTTCTTTTTACTAATTATAAAATAAAATTTTGATTTAATGATTTAAATATAAACATAATTTTGAAAAAAAATCCCAGTGTTCATGATTTCTGTTCCTAAAGTTTATTATATTTTAATCATGTACAATTCTGTTATTCCTCAGAAAAAGGCTCATGGGGTAAATGTCTCCTTTCAGACTTATTCTGGAAGAAGAACTAAATTATCTATGGAGAAACCTCAAATGGTGATGGAATTCCCCCAATAAAGTAAACAACACATTTGAAAAGTATATTGAGAATTTCCATTGTGTGGACAAGCAAGACAGGTAATTTATGTCATCCAGATTTTTCTTAGGACAGAGCTTGGTATAAGAATCTTACTAGGTCATTGGTGTGAGGCTGTCACCTGCCAATGTCATGTAATCACATTGGTTTGGACTGCCACCGAAATGTTATTCTAATTTTGTTCCAGACAAGAAGTAAAAAACAAAAAAACTTACTGTGCATTTAGATGACATTCAAAATTATGTCTTTGAGTTGTTATACCTTATTTTATTTATAAGCAATTGATTTCTCCAATATTATTTACTATAAAAATGATGTTAGTATTAGAAACCCCACATTTTTATAGTCTTTCTTTTGTCTTTTCATTTTGTAAATAGCACTAACAACGATTATTTTTAAAAACACAGCAAAATATTTTTTGACTATGTGCAACCATTGTTATATCTTCCTTGTGTAATTTTAAAGACACTATTTGTAGAAAATATATTTAGGAAGTTGCCAAATAGGTGCAAGGGAAACACTGATATGCTCTTTGAGTAGAAATGGAAGGTGAAATTCCTTCCACTTATTAAATATTTGTTTTTATCTTAAATGTTAAAAAGTGGCTAGAGACACCATACAGACTCACTTTAACCAATGGCATTTTATTTATTCAGAGATCAGTTGTTCCCTTCCTTCTCCACCTTTATAACATCTTATTCATATCCTGTGTAATTCCATTTCACTAAAAAGTAGCTATAGGGGAATCCTCTATGTACTTCAACAGCACTGACAAATTTCAATATATAACCAAATGTCTTATATAATCAATATCTTACTTGAAGTTTGCCTTCTTATGCTATTATGATATAACCAACTACGTTTTATAGAATACAAATCTTTTGTTGACTGCAAGTCAAAAGAAACATCACTATGCCGTGATTCTTCCCTTTTTTCTTTTTATGTTATTATTTTTAAGTGCACCTACCCTTTCCTTTTCTAGATTTATATAGAAATATATTCATGAAATTATATGACATATGTACAAAAAGAAGGTATTCCCAAAGATTAAACTGTTTTCCCTGCTGGGCACGGTGGCTCACGCCTGTAATCCCAGCACTTTGGGAAGTTGAGGTGGGCGGATCATCTGAGGTTGGGAGTTTGAGACTAGCCCAACCAACATGGAGAAACCCATCTCTACTAAAAATACAAAATTAGCTAGTGGTGGCACATGCCTGTAATCCCAGTTGCTCAGGAGGCTGAGGCAGGAGAATCGCTTGAACCCAGGAGGTGGAGGTTGCAGGGAGCCGAGATCATGCCATTGCACTCCAGCCTGGGCAACAAGAGCGAAACTCCGTCTCAAAATAACAAAAATGTTTTCCCTTAGGGAAGAAGGTAGGGAAACTGTCTTTGACAGCTGTTCTGCCTACACATAGGTGGGAGAGATGTCACTTCCTTACCATTCTTAACGTTCATCTTATCATGTTACATCATTATAGCACTGGATATTTTGTTTTAAAACCTGGTAATTTGTTGCTAGTATTACTAATTCATGAAATATCCTTAGCATAATAAAATTATATCAAAAGCATAAAGCAATTAATTTTACTACCAGCACATTTGTTACATCCTGGTAAATCCTTTTCAAATCTATCTTTGGAAAACTAAGCATCTGTCTGAACTGGGCACAAAAGATCTAGGCTTAATTTTCAGATATCCCTACACACACAAAAACTTGTGGTTTTATGACTTTCCATAACTTCACATAAATTATTCCACCATGTGAGCAAGTAATTTCTTATATCCTCATAAGGGTTTCTTAAGTTATCTACAGGTGTTTCAGGTAAATGTTTATTTAGGGCCTCCTGGAGTGAACTATTGTAAGGAAGTTGTACTTTTGTGCAGATGTATTGGTGGGTTTTAGTATTTTTCTCACCCATACAAGTCTAAGTGATAAAACACACACTCATCATCCATGAGAACCTGAGAGATCACAAGTGCTCCTCTTACTGAGAAGGTGTGCATCTGGGAGGCTGTGTTAGAATCTCTGAGGAGCAAAAAGCATGATTGCGGTATGAAAAAAGCTAACCAGGAGACTCTGATGGTAGAAGAGTCAGCGGTAACACATTTCACAGCCTCTCTGCCAGCACTCCCTCACACACACACACACGCATGGAAATTACTATTTTAGATGATGTAGTCAGACACCTTTTAAAATTATAAAAATCAGAGTCCTGGAGAGGCAAGTAACTTGTCAAAGGACTTCAATTTAATGAATTTTACATATTTTTTACCTGAATTATTTAGCCCATTATTTTTTAGGTAGAAGTAATTTATAAATCATCTCTAAGCTGGCAACATTGCCAGTTCATCTGATGAGTTTTTGAAGTTTTCCATTTCACCCATCTCTGGACACGATTTTATTTAGAATGAATGTTAAAAAGTAACTTCATAGTAGGATGAAAACTTATTTTGTGTAAACTTAATTTCTAGAGAATAAAAAATAATTAGGAAGTAATTAGATAATTATAACCATAATGCCTCTTTTTTTTTTTTGAGACAGAATCTTGCTCTGTCATCCAGGCTGGAGTGCAGTGGTGTGAACATGGCCCACTGCAGCTGTGATCTCTTGTGATCTCTTAGGCTCAAGATCTCTTAGGCTCCTGCCTCAGCCTCCCAAGCAGCTGGGACCACAGGCGTGCACCACCACGCCCAGCTAATTTTTAAGTTTTTTGTAGAGATGGAGTCTCATCATGTTTTCCAGTCTGGCCTCGAATTCCTGGGTTCAAGCAATCCTCCCACCTCAGCCTCCCAAAGTGCTGGAATTATGACATGAGCTGTCATGCCCTGCCCATATACTGCTTTTTTTTTTTTAACATTTACAGTAAGAAGTATATTTTTGTAAAGGACCTCTGGTTTCTTGGACTGAGGATCTTCTGACCAGATTATGGTCATTCACTCACTCTTCCTCTGGAAAGGTGGTGGCAAGAACCAGCATTGTTAGTAATGTTACTTTTACAAAAAGAATAGATTGAAAAGTCGTGGTGTCTTTTGGGAATAGTCTTGTTTTAGAAGACCAAATTTATTCTGTTTGTCTGTGCTGTAAGTCTTACTTGACAAGTACCTCTTGTGGAGACTTTTGTTATTGGTGAGTGAGTGGACAGTTTTGACAAATATGTTAGCTCCAGTAGTGGATTCCTTTAACTTTTACTCTGAACCATGTTTCTGTATCTGGCTGTTATAAAAAACAGAAATGTTACTTTAGCTTTCACTTGCTTTAATTATTTTGGTATGGCCTTTCTACATATATGAGGGAATATTTGTCTTTGAAGCTCCACTGAGTTTTCAGCAGAAATAAGAAGAGTCATTTCAGAGTTATGATAAAACATAATCTAAAATTCAGCTTTATGAAAGACA
This sequence comes from Homo sapiens, assembly GCF_000001405.40. Taxonomy (NCBI): domain Eukaryota; kingdom Metazoa; phylum Chordata; class Mammalia; order Primates; family Hominidae; genus Homo; species Homo sapiens. The sequence goes on from NC_000004.12 coordinate 156,354,530, forward strand.
TAAACCAAGGCATACAAATAAGAGGACGTTTGAGTAAAGTCAATCAGACACTTGCTGTATAGCCTTGGGTAGGTTATTCATCCTCTTTCAATCTCAGTTGTGTCAAAAGTAAAACAAAAATAACAGCACCTACCCTGTGAAGAGAATGTGATTTGATAACCTTCTGTACCTGGTGCATAGTAGGAACACAATAAACATTATCTCTAATAATATGTAACGGTAAATCATAAGTTCCTGGTATTGAAAATTAACTTATGTACCAGATGGAATTCTTCATTAAAATTATTTCAAACTCTTAGTCTTATATATGTCGTAAAGAGAATTATCCAGGGCCAAATCATCTGAGCATGAAAATAGCTCCTTGGAGAACTATAGCTTTCACTGGGAATCCACCAATATAATAGAGACTATCAAAATGATCAGGAACAAAACAGTTTTCTATTTGAAAATCTGATTCATGGAGCTCCATAAGACCTGAATAAAAAGGGAAAACTTTCATCCTAGATACGTAAACATGTAAATGTGTGCGTGTGTGTGTGTGTGCACATACACATTCGTGTGTCTTTTATCCTTTGGTATCTTTTCCTAAGAAATTATAAATAATATAGTGTCAAATGTAAAAATAATTGGTCTATGCCATCATCACAGTACAGTTTATTAATAACTTATCACTAGAACTCTATCATATATGACATCAGCTCCACCCTGGTGGAAAATCCCTTCAGCTTCTGGTATTGAAAAGAAAGTCCAGGAAGCATCCAGGGCTGCTACTGTCTAGTTTTAGGCTTTGGTCATGTCTGTGCCATTTCTGCTAGGTATAATAGTTTTATAGTATATATTCCTACATTTATTTATATAACATTTCATTCCTCTCAACAATGTTTTATAGTTGTATTTATTATTATTTTTTTCAACTTTTATTTTAGACTCAGAGGGTACATGTGCAGGTTTGTTACCTTGGTATATTGCATGATGCTTGTAATCTCATCTCCCAGGTACTGAGCATAGTAGCCAATAGTTACTTTTCCAACCCTTGTCCCACTTCCACCCTCCCCTCTCTGGTAATCTCCAGTTTTCATTGTTGCCATCTTTATGTCCATGAGAACTTGATCATTAGCTCTCAGTTGTAAGTGACAAAATGCAGTATTTGGTTTTCTGTTTCTGTGTTATTTCACTTATGATAATGGCCTCCAGCTGCATTCATGTTGTGACAAAGGACAAGATTTATTCTTTTTATGGCTGTATAGTATTTCTTGGTGTATGTGTGCCACATTTTCTTTGTCCAGTCCACCACTGATGGGCACCTAGGTTGATTCCATGTCTTTGCTATTGTGTATAGTACTTCAATGACCATGCGAGTGCATGTGTCTTTTTAGAAGAATTACTTATTTTCTTTTGCCTATATACCCAGTAATGGGACTGCTAGGTCAAATGATAGCTCTGTTTTAAGTGCTTTGAGAAACCTCCAAATTACTTTCCACAGAAGTTGAGCTAATATAGATTCTCAACAATGGTCTGTAAGTGTTCCCTTTTCTCTATAGCCTTGCCAACATCTGCTGTTTTAGTTTTGTTTCTTTTTTTTTTTCACTTTTTAAATAATAGCCATTCTGATTGGTGTGAGATGAAATCTCATTGTGGTTTTGATTTGCATTTCTCTGATGATTAGTGATGTAGAGTATGTTTTTGGCCACTTGTATGTCTTCTTTTGAGAAGTGTTGTACATGGCTTTTGCCCATTTTTAGTGGAGTTGTTTTTCTTTCTTGTTGGTTTAAATTTCTTATAGATCCTGGATATTAGACCTTTGTTGGATGTACAGTTTTGCAAATATTTTCTCCTGTTCTTGTAGGTTGTCTGTTTTCCTTTTGGTAGTTTCTTTTGCTGAGCAGAAACTCTTTAGTTTAATTAGGTCTCACCTGTCAATTTTTGTTGAAATTGCTTTTGAAGTCTTAGTCATTAATTCTTTCTCAAGGCCAATGTCCAGAATGGTGCTTCCAAGCTTTTATTCTAGGATTCTTGTATTTCTGAGGTCTTACATTTTGAATAGGAAGTACTTTCTCTATTGCTTCTTTTTGTCAACTGTGCTGGAAATCAGATGCTTGTAGCTGTGCAGCTTTATTCCTGTGTTCTCTGTTCTGTTGGTTTATGTGTCTGTTTTTCTACAGTACCATGCTGTTTTGATTACTGTAGCCTTACTGTATAGTTTGAAGTCAGGTAATGTGATGCCTGTGGCTTTATTCTTTTGCTTAGGATTATTTAGGCTATTCAGAATCTTTTTTGGTTTCATATAAATTTTAGAATAGTTTTTTCTAGTTCTGTGAAAAATGCCCTTGGCAGTTTGGTAGGAATAGCATTGAATCTGTAGATTTATTTGGGCACTATTGCCATTTTAACAAAGAAAAGGAAAATACAATCTTGATTTGGCTCTCAGCTTGAATGTTATTAGTGTACAGAAATGCTACTGATGTCTGTAAATCGATTTTGTATTCTGAAACTTTACTGAAGTCGTTTATCAGTTCCAGGAGGCTTTTGGTGGAATCATTAGTGCCTTTTATTTCTTTCTCTTGCCTGATTGCTCTGACTAGCACTTCTAGTACTATACTGAGTAGGAGTGGTGGGAGTGAGTATCCTTGTCTTGTTCCAGTTCTCGAGGAGAATACTTCCAGTTTTTGCCCATTTAATATAAGGTTAGTTGTGGGTTTGTCATAGACTGTTACTATTTTGAGGTATGTTTCATTGATGCTTAGTTTCTTGAAGGTTTTTATCATGAAGGGAAGTTGGATTTTACTGAAAGCTTTTCTCTGTCTATTGAGACAATCACATGGTTTTGGTTTTTAATTCTGTTTATGTGGTAAATCACTTTTATTGCTTTGCATATGTTGAGTCAACTTTGCATCCCAGGAATGAAATCTACTTGATCATGGTGAATTAACTTTTTGATGTATTGTAGGAATTGGTTTGTTAGTATTTTGTTGAAGATTTTTCCATCTATGTTCATCAGGGATATTGTCCTGTAGTTTTTTTTCTTCATTGTATTTTTGCCAGGTTTTGGGATCAGGGTGATGCTGGTTTTGTAGAATGAGTGAGTGAAGAGTTCCTTTTCCTCCATTTTTTGGAGTAGTTTCAGCAAAATTGGTACAATTTATTCTATGTACTTCTGGTAGAATTGAGCGGTGAAGCCATCTGGTCTGAGGCTTGCTAGAGACTTACTATATGGCCAAGCATGTGATCAATTTTGGAGTGTGTTCTGTGTGCAAATGAGAGAAATGTATATGTGTGGTTGATGCAGAGAGTATTTTGTAGATGTCTATTAGGTACAATTGGTCAAGCATCAAGTTTAAATCCAGAATTTCTTTGTTAGTTTTCTACCTTAATGATCTGTCTAATGCTGACAGTGAGGTGTTGAAGTCTCTTACTATTATTGCATGGCTGTTTAAGCTTTTTCATAGGTCTAGCAATACTTGTTTTATGAATATACATGTTCCAATGTTGGAGATATATATATATATATGATAAGTCTTCCTGTTGAATTGAACCCTTTATCGTTATGTAATCCCTTTCTTTGTCTTTTTTTATTATTGTCAGTTTAAAGTCTATTTTATCTGTCACAAGAATTGTGATCCCTGCTGTTTTTTGTTTTCTGCTTGCATGGTAACTCTTTCTCCAACCCTTACTTTGTGCTTAGTGGTGTTGTTCTATGTGAGATGAGTCTCCTGAAGACAGCAGGTGGATAGGTCTCTTTTTTTAAAACCAATTTGCTATTCTGTGTCCCTAAAGTGGGGAATGTAGACCATTTACATTCCACATTAATATTGATATGTGAGATTCTGATCCTATCATGATGTTGTTAGCTAGTTGCTTTGTAGTTTCTATTGTGTAGTTACTTTACAGGGTCTGTAGGCTATGTACTTAAGTGTGTTTTTTTTTTTTTTTTGGTAGTAGGTATCATTCTTTAGTTTCCATGTTTAGTTCTCTTGTATCTCTTGTAAGGCTAGTCTAGTGGTAATGAATTATCTTCATGCTTGCTTGTCTGGAAACTATTTCTTCTTTGCTTTATGAAACTTAGTTTGGTGGGATATTAATTTCTTGGTTGAAATTTCTTTTCTTGAAGAATGCTGAAAATATGCCCACAATCACTCCAGGCTTACAAAGTTTTTGCTGAGAAATCCACTGTTAGCCTGATGGGGTTCCCTCTGTGTATGATCCGACATTTTTATCTAACTGCCTTTAAGATGTTTTCTTTAACATTAAGTAAATGAGTAATAGAGTAATCAGAAGAAAAATAATTTTACTGAGAATAAATTTATCACTATATAATAGATACAACTGAGAAGTCTGTATTATCAATTATTAATATGAAAAGGTTCATAACATTCTGAGATGATTGACAGAAAAGAAAACAAAATGAAGAAAGTGATCAGTCCTTCAAATGGTATGGTAAATAGGACTTAAAGCTACATATGTGGAGGAATTTGAACCCATTGGACTAAATTATAAAATGATCAGACAAACAGTATGATCCACTCTTTACAATGATATATGTTTTTCCATTATAACTTACAGAACTAATAGTTGAATGAAATAAAAATGTATGTAACTGGGAAAAAGAGAATGGACAGAAATTGGAAAGAAAAAATATTTAAAGTGAGCTAATCTAGAAGGACTTAGTAAAATAAGCAAAATAAATCATGTAGTGGCTGTTGAGTTTATATACTTTCAAGATTTCGTTCTTCAATAGTTGAATAATTATGACAAATTCCTAATATATCTTAAATCTTGAAAATTATGGAAGACAAAAGAATGCTTAGATTTTAAAATTCAGTTTTTTGGTTTTTTTTTTTTTTTTTTTTGAGACGGTGTCTCACTCTGACATCCAGGCTGGAGTGAAGTGGCACAATCTAGGCTCACTGCAACCTCCACCTCCCGGGTTCAAGTGATTCTCCTGCCTCAGCCTCCCAAGTGGCTGGGATTACAGGTGCCTGCCACCACGCCCAGCCAATTTTTTGTATTTTTAGTAGAGACAGGGTTTCATCATGTTGGCCAGGCTGGTCTTCAACTCCTGACCTCTGGTGATCCACCCACCTTCGCCTTCCAAAGTGCTGGGATTATAGGGGTGAGCCACTGTGCCTAGCCAAAATTCAGTTTTTATATATAATTAAGAGATGAGTTTTAGGATTTTTCCCTTTTCTTCAAGGCTCAAATAATGTTTGAAATTGTAAGAATGATGCATTTAGAATTTTCAATATTGCAATGGTAATATGAAATCAAGCAAATGTAATAAAAAAGATAACTTGGATTAACGGTAAGATAAAAAATTATCATTACTAAAAGACCATCTACTTCTTACAGAATTTAAAATATCTACTTAAACATAATTATATGTTTGGAAAAAATTTAGTTGAGCCAATAAATCTATCTATATCTATAAAATGTGGACAAGATGGATAAATCATTGATATTGAAATAGGTTCACTAATTCTCTTTTCCCATAATATGTTTATATTTCTCTGATAATAAGTTATAAGATTTCTATGAGTATTGAAGTAGTTTAAGTCTATTGTTTTATATATTCAAAATCAGATTCTGCTCTTAAAAAGTCCATTTAAAATATGTAAAGCAATAAGTAACTTCAGTTGCTAAATTGGTTCAATTGCTCAGCTGCTGTGGGGAGAGGCACTATAGCTTATAAAATTGTGGTTTCTCACTTACAAAACATCTAATCAATGTGCATATTTTACTCCTAGCTATAAAAAACCCAATATGTCCATAATTGTAATAAATTTAAAATACTGCAAAGTATTAAAGAGAATATTAAAATTATTTTCTAACTCTTAAGTATTGGTACATTTTCTTCTAGTTTGTTCTTTGTGCGTAATTCATATGATTTGCATGAGTTACCACCATTAATTTTCAAATAATCAGCAACTGGAAAAGCAACAAGGGGTAAAATATTACATTTCTACTCTACTATTCTGTTCTACAAACGAGCCCTCTGCTTTTGGGACTTCACATCTTTCTTCACCTTATACATGTAGAGGCTTCATCACTTTATATGACTTAAAACAACTATGTGTCCTAAGAGCAGGAGCCAATACCCTGGCTGCCAAAGGCCACCTTGCTATGTTAACAGGAAAATATTATCTATCTAGGATACATACATCTAAATATGTTGACATATAAATTTAATCTATATGAATAGTAAGTTGGGCAAGATGCTGGTTAGTTTTAATCAAGTATTTTCTTTGAGTAAAATATTGGATTGAGTTAATGAGCTAAAATTCAACCCATCATGAGAAACTCTGGAGAAAATATTTGTCATTGTATCCTAATCATATTTATGAATTGTTTAAAGAATGGAAGGAGATGAAGGAAACCAGAAATATTAGCCAGGAGATATTTACAATAATTCAGGTGACTTTCAGGACCAAGATATTCCCATTGTTTTTGAAAAAGACATGAGAAAAATGTTGCAAAGAAAAAACTGATGGAACTTGTTTAATGCTTTTATACAAGTAATGGGCCTTAGGTGATAGATTAAGTCCCAGTTTAAACAGTGTCAAATGCCTCTAGAGACTGATGGGTATTCAGAGAGAAAATAGGTCCTTGAATTTGGTGATTCTAAATCATATGTGTCTGATGTAAAAGCAGTTTTAACTTCAGTGAAAGCTGAAGAACAAAATATTGAGAGGAAACTGGATGAAACGAGTCAGAATGTTTGTAAATAATTGAATGTGAAAAGATAAAGGTGGGTAAGTCATATTTCAAGAAAAAAGGATGGAGGGATGATTGGGCTATGGGGCACTTGATTTCTCAATTTTGCATAGATCTCACTAAATAAGTATTGTTTATCATACTTTCCTAATGGTATTCAAAGCTAATATTTTTATGAGACAATAATTATAACTTCACATCATATGAGAAGAACCGATGTTTGCCTTCTGTTTTGTTTCTGTCCTTCAAATTACCTCTATATTTTGCCAATGTAGTAGATTTTCAGTAAGGGGTGAAACTACCTTGTTTCCTAGAGCTATTTGACCATCCAGGCAGTTGCCTGCCATTTTGTTATTGGGGGTGAGTGGAAAGCAGACAATTATAATAAAAAATAAATATGCACAGCCATGATGTATGTCATTCTATATTCAACTGTAATATTTTAAAACATGATCTTCTAAAGTCAAGAGAAAATGCTAGAAAAATGAAATAGGTTTATCCTTACCCATTGTTTACCCTTACCCATTTTTAGCAATGTTCAAACAGGTTGATTCTTAAACGGAGAGTCTTAAAAATAATAAGCTGGCATTTAGATTTCTGGTTGAGTGTGAGGCTTAAATTACTCTTAGCTTTATTTCTCAATATACTCTAAATGAATCGTTATATTATTTTTCATAAAAACTTTTTAAAAATAAAATTTTCTATGTACACATAGGTACTTATTAGTGTTAATTACAGAAAGAATAAAATTCAAATGAGACTCAAGAGTAGAGTGATTTTGAAACTGTAAGGCTAAGTATATGGCTAACATACTTGACCAAAATTTTAAAACAGCAGAATTATTAGCCCTCATAAGCTCTAATATTTTATTTAAAAGGTTAACATTTTCCATTTTAAGGTTTTTTCTTGTCTTCATGTACATGATATAGCTATAAAAAAAGAAGTAAAATACATCAATTCCACATTTTTATTTCGTTGAAAGGCATGTTCTCTTATTCTAGAGAAGAAAGTCAGATTTTAGCTGTTTCATACCAGATTTATTACTTAACATAGCAAAAAACAAAAAAATCAAAACAAACAAACAAACAAAAAAACAAAAGAGTACATCCTGAAAGGAGCAGGTGTTTATACAGTAAGTTTTGCCTGATCCTCTATTTTTCTTTAAATTCAAAGTGAAGATTTTTATTAATTAATTATTTACTCTCTCTTATTTTTATTTTCAATATAGAAATAATTATATAGGCAAAAACATATTGACATAATGAAGCAAGTCAAGTATTTGTTATATAAGGTTTAATATTATTGAAGGCAATGTTCTCTATGCATCCATGTAATTTTATATTTCTTATGTATAGACACATAGGTTAGAGCTAAGAACTTTATAAGGAACAAAAATGGAACCTAACAATTGTCACTGACAGTAAGAAAATACTAATGATGAAAACTTGTTTTCCAAAGCAGTTGATGTGATCATTTCCCATGAGGCAGTGGTTAATATAAACAGGCAAACAGATCAATTTGTCACCACAAATATGTCACTACATTCTAATGTTTTCATTAGCTAAAACACCAAAGTGCTGATTCACTCTGCCTTGGGGTAAATGTGACCATTTTCCGCAAACATTTTCTAAAATGCTGCATAAATATAATTTTCTTTCATTTAGTATTTGGATTTGGATTTCTCTTTACATGATTTAACAAAAAACTTGTTTCTCCTGAATCTCGTCTTGTCTGTGTTTGCTTCTGTCTCTAACCTGAATTCATGTAGGAAAGAACAACATATGAGACACAACTCCTATCATCTATTCCTCAAAAATAGCTGTGCTAGAATTAAAAAATACTCAGTGTTTGATCAAACATGCTCAATGATAATTTTGATCAAATGTGAAGATAACACAAGGAATGGATTTAACAGAAATAAAAATGATCTCAAAACAAAATTGCATGATATGGTTTCAAATGGGAAGGATATTTCCATGTCAGATTGGGTGGTTTCCATTCTAATCATACTTGTACTAATAAGTTTTCTTTTTAAAGACTGTAGTTTAGCATATTGTATATCCTCTATTCAACATTGAAATTTCAATGGACACAACCCCAGATCAAAGAAGCAGAGAGGCCAGCAGTGTAAATGAAGAAAAAAATAGAGGATGTTATACGTTTCTTTCCAAAATATGAAATATTCCCGACCGTGTTTGTCAAATACAAGCTGAGCATTCTACAACCAGCATCATTCTGATTCTATTACTTAAACAGTAATAAAAGGAGTCATCACTTTCAACATTGTTCCCTTAATGTTAACTTAAAATTCTTCTTAGTGTGGCTGTAATATAGGATCATTAGAATTCCATGATTCGAATGTATATATTATCTTTTAGAGCAGAGGAATGTCTCAACAATAGTCCAGGGCAGTAGGTGTCAGCAGACATGGGGAAGTGAAGGAGGTCATAAACCAAAGTTCAGTCCATCCAAAACATTACAGCTTCACTTGTAGTAGGACGTTTTTGGGGAACACAACAAAAATATTCTAAAAGTCATGAAGTATAATAAATGCCCCTGAGTAACTAAGTCATTTTTTGAAAAAAGATCAGAGAGGGCACTTGTAGTAAGAGAGCACACAACTTGCTACAGAGCCATAGTAATAAAAATGTAAAACAAAGGAACGAAAAACACTGACGTAGGACCAGACAACTAGACTAAAACAACAAGAAAGAGGGGTCGGAAACTTACTTGTGTACTAACAGAAGTTTGACCTGTGATAAAGCTGTTATCAAATATCTCTGAAAAAAAGACATAACATCTTTTCAGATGGTTTTGGAAATTATGTCTTTTACATGGACAAAATTAAATTTTATGCTTATCTTCTTTCCTATACAAGGATGAAGTAGAGAGGGTTGAAAGATCTAAATGAGACATAGAAAATTCTAAATATAAGGAAATTCAATGAAAAATTACATAGGAAAATATCTTTATGATATTGAAACAAGGCAAAACTTTTATCTAAATTTTAAAATTATAAGAAATATTGGCCTAATATAATATTAATTAATACATAAGATTAATATCAATAACTATGTAAATATTGATTGCTAATATATAAATAATAATGTTCCTAAAGAATACTATGAAGTTTACAGATAGGCAATGAGGAGGCAGAAGGACACAAATTCATATCTCCGGACAAAAAATGACCTCAATAAGATTTCTATCAAATACTGAAGAATTGTTTTTGAGAATATTTGAGAAAAAAGTTTGCTCCTACATATCATTCTTTTTCATGAAAAAGGTAATTATCAGACAGAATTACCTTAGAAATCTCATACAGGAAGAAAATTGAAATAGTATTCCACTAATTTATTAAATACCTATAATACAAAGTATGTAAATAATAATAATTAAAAGAACCAGGAAAAAATATAACTAGCCACGATAAGGAATCCTAACCTTATAATATCCATTCACATACAATTCAATTAGTTGCTTAGAACACTTTGTCATTCAAAATGAAAGAGCCAAGAGTGTATCACATGATACGAGAGACACAAAAACAAGACTTTTTTTTTTTTTTCTTTTTTCCCCCAGGGAAACTGGAATATATGTTTGGTTATATATGGTTACTACTCCTTCTTTTGCTGCTTACATGTAATTAGGACCGACAAGGATTTCTGTCTTAAAGTCTAAACATGTTTTTATGGATGGTCACATTTTTAAAGGTAATACTTTTTTTGAAGTTAGCATTAAAAATATGCAGCCACACAATAAATTCTACTGCACCATTCCTCTTGCTTATATTAAGGAAACTGAGTCACAGAGGTTTGCAGATATTTGATCATGTATTAACATTTCATTTCATATAAAAATTAGTTTTATTAAACTTTTCACAGAAAAAAACAACTAAATAAAATAATCTTGAAGAAGAAAGACAACCCAGACTCAAGTCTATAATTACGACTTGAGAAGCCATGTGAAAGTGATAATTTTCTATTTAACTATTGTATGTGGGACCTTCAAAAGAAATGAAGTAGTGTGTTAGTTTCCAGAAGTTGCCACTACATTCTTTGTACCCCAAAAATCATATATTTTCCTTGAACATCAAAATGGTCATCTGATTCGTTATATACGGTCCATGTAAGTTCTCCAACAAATAGCTCCATTGCCTTTTTATAGTTATTTAATCAAATGTGAAGCAATGATACATTCCTGCGGGAAGAGTTATCAAGTCCCCTATTCATTAAAATTGAACTCCACTTGTACAGAAGTATCTACTTTCATCCAAGATACACCCAGCTCCTTCACTCAACTGTGAAGTTCTTCATAAAACATCTTATTCTTTTTTTTATTTTTTATTTTTTCTGAGACAGTATCTCGCTCTGTTGCCCAGGTTGGAGGGCAGTGGCACGATCACTGCTCACTGTAAGCTCCGCCTCCCAGGTTCAGACCATTCTCCTGCCTCAGCCTCCAGAGTAGCTGGGACTACAGGTGCCCGCCACCACGCCCGGCTAATTTTTTGTATTTTTAGTAGAGATGAGGTTTCACCATCTCTACTGGTGTTAGCCAGGATGGTCTCGATCTCCTGACCTCGTGATCCACCCGCCTCGGCGTCCCAAAGTGCTGGGATTACAGGCATGAGCCACCGCGCCCAGCCAAAACATCTTATTCTTTTCTCCATAATTTGTTAGTTTCTCCAAACATATATTTGTTATGTTCACACCACAGTGCTTTTCCTTTGGGAATATTTTTCTAATTTTGAGTCATTCTCATATTTATCTGCATAAAACAGGGTTGTTACCTTGAGGAAGGTATCTTATCCTGAGGTATGCAAAAACACAAGAGATCATTTCATTCCTCAAAAATTTTATTTTGCTTGCTTTTTAATCTCCTGCCTTCTGCCTTAGCAATCACCTCTCTCCACTTCATCATTTCTATGAGCTCTGCTCATTACTTCTTCCACTTCACTGAATGTTTTTGGGTCTTACCAACAATTAAATTATCCTCCGTAACAACTTCAACCTTCACCTGGTAAATCTGCCCTATAGCCACGTCACTCCCTGTTTCTTCAGGTTCTTTTCTCTAGTGACCTTCACCTTCAATCTAGTTGAGCTACGTGTTTCATATACCTTGTTGCCACCCACAACCATTAGTCTTCTGAAATATTAACCTCAAAGTTATTATACTGTCACCACATGTGTGTAACTCAGTTACACAGGCAATGTCTAAGAGTTGACCTCCTAGGGACATCTTGGCTGTGATATTTCCGCTTTTTATTTTTGCCTCCTCCTTTTGCAACCATTTATTTTTAAATCAGCTTTGATCTCCTTGTACAAAACTTTCTCTCATGAGGAAATTGTCAAATCCATGTTTCTTCTAACTTACCACCGAACTTCCTAGAAAAAAAAAATTAAATATTGGAGGAATCAAATTATCATCTTTCTTTTTGTTAGCGGTACTAAAACTTCACAATGTCCAACTGGTTTTCAATAGCAAGGTCCACTCACACTTCCATTGCCCTAGTTAGGTCTCTTTAAGGTTCTCTACAGAAACTTTCCTCAATACTATTGAAACTAGTATATGTATACATGCATTTATCCTTCCTTTCCCCATAGCTCTTCATTTTTGTAAGGCTAAGCCTTTCCATGATCTTCTGGAACTCATCCCTTCGTGACTTCTCAGGAATAGCAAGACATCAGTTATTGACTTTAATATTAATTCAAGATCTCTGACCATACATTTATTTTCAGGGAAAACAAGTTTTGCTAGTAACTCCAAAGATGCATCTGTATGTGTTTATTTTCCTATACAATAATTTTTAAATTTCAAAACTTGTTATCAATTAATCCACGCAGAACATTGTAATTCTGAAAAACATGAGGTCTGTAAAGAAATTTGACCTATCACTTTAAAATATATTCCCATCCTCTTTTTCTAATGTTTTAAAGAGTCTCTAACTTTATGTCTAAGAAACAATGAATATATTTTAAAACTGACATCTAAAGAGGATTCTAAAAAAAAACACTTTTTAAAAAATTGGAGGTGGGAGGAGCCAAGATGGCCAAATAGGAACAGCTCTGGTCTACAGCTCCCAGCGTGAGCGACGCAGAAGACCGGTGATTTCTGCATTTCCATCTGAGGTACCGGGTTCATCTCACTAGGGAGTGCCAGACAGTGGGTGCAGGTCAGTGGGTGCACGCACCCTGCGCGAGCCAAAGCAGGGCGAAGCATTGCCTCACTTGGGAAGTGCAAGGGGTCAGGGAGTTCCCTTTCCTAGTCAAAGAAAGGGGTGATGGACGGCACCTGGAAAATCGGGTCACTCCCACCCGAATACTGCGCTTTTCCGACGGGCTTAAAAAACGGTGTACCACAAGATTATATCCCGACCTGGCTCGGGCGGTCCTATGCCCAGGGAGTCTCGCTGATTCCTAGCACAGCAGTCTGAGATCAAACTGCAAGGTGGCAGCCAGGCTGGGGGAGGGGCGCCTGCCATTGCCCAGGCTTGCTTAGGTAAACAAAGCAGCCGGCTGGGAAGCTCCAACTGGGTGGAGCCCACCACAGCTCAAGGAGGCCTGCCTGCCTCTGTAGGCTCCACCTCTGGGGGCAGGGCACAGACAAACAAAAAGACAGCAGTAACCTCTGCAGACTTAAATGTCCCTGTCTGACAGCTTTGAAGAGAGCAGTGGTTCTCCCAGCAGGCAGCTGGAGATCTGAGAACGGGCAGACTGCCTCCTCAAGTGGGTCCCTGACCCCTGACCCCCAAGCAGCCTACCTGGGAGGCACTCCCCAGCAGGGGCACACTGACACCTCACACGGCAGGGTATTCCAACAGACCAGCAGCTGAGGGTCCTGTCTGTTAAAAGGAAAACTAACAAACAGAAAGGACATCCACACCAAAAACCCATCTGTACATCACCACCATCAAAGACCAAAAGTAGATAAAACCACAAAGATGGGGAAAAAACAGAACAGAAAAACTGGAAACTCTAAAACGCAGAGCGCCTCTCCTCCAAAGGAACGCAGTTCCTCACCAGCAACGGAACAAAGCTGGACGGAGAATGACTTTGACGAGCTGAGAGAAGAAGGCTTCAGACGATCAAATTACTCTGAGCTACGGGAGGACATACAAACCAAAGGCAAAGAAGTTGAAAACTTTGAAAAAAATTTAGAAGAATGTATAACTAGAATAACCAATACAGCGAAGTGCTTAAAGGAGCTGATGGAGCTGAAAACCAAGGCTCGAGAACTATGTGAAGAATGCAGAAGCCTCAGGAGCTGATGCAATCAACTGGAAGAAAGGGTATCAGCAATGGAAGATGAATGAAATGAAGCGAGAAGGGAAGTTTGGAGAAAAAAGAATAAAAAGGAACGAGCAAAGCCTCCAAGAAATATGGGACTATGTGAAAAGACCAAATTTACGACTGATTGGTGTACCTGAAAGTGATGGGGAGAATGGAACCAAGTTGGAAAACACTCTGCAGGATATTATCCAGGAGAACTTCCCCAATCTAGCAAGGCAGGCGAACGTTCAGATTCAGGAAATACAGAGAATGCCACAAAGATACTCCTCGAGAAGAGCAACTCCAAGACACATCATTGTCAGATTCACCAAAGTTGAAATGAAGGAAAAAATGTTAAGGGCAGCCAGAGAGAAAGGTCGGGTTACCCTCAAAGGGAAGCCCATTAGACTAACAGCAGATCTCTCAGCAGAAACCCTACAAGCCAGAAGAGAGTGGGGGCCAATATTCAACATTCTTAAAGAAAAGAATTTTCAACCCAGAGTTTCATATCCAGCCAAACTAAGCTTCATAAGTGAAGGAGAAATAAAATACTTTACAGACAAGCAAATGCTGAGAGATTTTGTCACCACCAGGCCTGCCCTAAAAGAGCTCCTGAAGGAAGCGCTAAACATGGAAAGGAACAACCAGTACCAGCCGCTGCAAAATCATGCCAAAATGTAAAGACCATCGAGACTAGGAAGAAACTGCATCAACTAATGAACAAAATAACCAGCTAACATCATAATGACAGGATCAAATTCACACATAACAATATTAACTTTAAATGTAAATGGACTAAATACTCCAATTAAAAGACACAGACTGGCAAATTAGATAAAGAGTCAAGACCCATCAGTGTGCTGTATTCAGGAAACTCATCTCACAGGCAGAGACACACATAGGCTCAAAATAAAAGGATGGAGGAAGATCTACCAAGCAAATGGAAAACAAAAAAAGGCAGGGGTTGCAATCCTAGTCTCTGATAAAAGAGACTTTTAACCAACAAAGATCAAAAGAGACAAAGAAGGCCATTACATAATGGTAAAGGGATCAAATCAACAAGAAGAGCTAACTATCCTAAATATATATGCACCCAATAAAGGAGCACCCAGATTCATAAAGCAAGTCCTGAGTGACCTACAAAGAGACTTAGACGCCCACACATTAATAATGGGAGACTTTAACATCCCACTGTCAACATTAGACAGATCAACCAGACAGAAAGTCAACAAGGATACCCAGGAATTGAACTCAGCTCTGCACCAAGCGGACCTAATAGACATCTACAGAACTCTCCACCCCAAATCAACAGAATATACATTTTTTTCAGCACCACACCACACCTATTCCAAAATTGACCACATACTTGGAAGTAAAGCACTCCTCAGCAAATGTAAGAGATCAGAAATGATAACAAACTATCTCTCAGACCACAGTGCAATCAAACTAGAACTCAGGATTAAGAATCTCGCTCAAAACCGCTCAACTACATGGAAACTGAACAACCTGCTCCTGAATGACTACTGGATACATAACGAAATGAAGGCAGAAATAAAGATGTTCTTTGAAACCAACGAGAACAAAGACACAACATACCAGAATCTCTGGGATGCATTCAAAGCAGTGTGTAGAGGGAAATTTATAGCAATAAATGCCCACAAGAGAAAGCAGGAAAGATCCAAAATTGACACCCTAACATCACAATTAAAAGAACTAGAAAAGCAAGAGCAAACACATTCAAAATCTAGCAGAAGGCAAGAAATAACTAAAATCAGAGCAGAACTGAAGGAAATAGAGACACAAAATCCCTTCAAAAAATTAATGAATCCAGGAGCTGGATTTTTGAAAGGATCAACAAAATTGATAGACCACTAGCAAGACTAATAAAGAAAAAAAGAGAGAAGAATCAAATAGACACAATAAAAAATGATAAAGGGGATATCACCACCGATCCCACAGAAATACAAACTACCATCAGAGAATACTACAAACACCTCTATGCAAATAAACTAGAAAATCTAGAAGAAATGGATAAATTCCTCGACACATACATACACTCTCCCAAGACTAAACCAGGAAGAAGTTGAATCTCTGAATAGACCAATAACAGGAGCTGAAATTGTGGCAATAATCAATAGCTTACCAACCAAAAAGAGTCCAGGACCAGATGGATTCACAGCCGAATTCTACCAGAGGTACAAGGAGGAACTGGTACCATTCCTTCTGAAACTATTCCAATCAATAGAAAAAGAGGGAATCCTCCCTAACTCATTTTATGAGGCCAGCATCATTCGGATACCAAAGCCGGGCAGAGACACAACCAAAAAAGAGAATTTTAGACCAATATCCTTGATGAACATTGATGCAAAAATCCTCAATAAAATACTGGCAAAACCAATCCAGCAGCACATCAAAAAGCTTATCCACCATGATCAAGTGGCCTTCATCCCTGGGATGCAAGGCTGGTTCAATATACGCAAATCAATAAATGTAATCCAGCATATAAACAGAGCCAAAGACAAAAACCACATGATTATCTCAATAGATGCAGAAAAGGCCTTTGACAAAATTCAACAACCCTTCATGCTAAAAACTCTCAATAAATTAGGTATTGATGGGACGTATTTCAAAATAATAAGAGCTATCTATGACAAACCCACAGCCAATATCATACTGAATGGGCAAAAACTGGAAGCATTCCCTTTGAAAACTGGCACAAGACAGGGATGCCCTCTCTCACCACTCCTATTCAACATAGTGTTGGAAGTTCTGGCCAGGGCAATTAGGCAGGAGAAGGAAATAAAGGGTATTCAATTAGGAAAAGAGGAAGTCAAATTGTCCCTGTTTGCAGACGACATGATTGTATATCTAGAAAACCCCATTGTCTCAGCCCAAAATCTCCTTAAGCTGATAAGCAACTTCAGCAAAGTCTCAGGATACAAAATCAATGTACAAAAATCACAAGCATTCTTATACACCAACAACAGACAAACAGAGAGCCAAATCATGAGTGAACTCCCATTCACAATTGCTTCAAAGAGAATAAAATACCTAGGAATCCAACTTAGAAGGGATGTGAAGGACCTCTTCAAGGAGAACTACAAACCACTGCTCAAGGAAATAAAAGAGGATACAAACAAATGGAAGAACATTCCATGCTCATGGGTAGGAAGAATCAATATCGTGAAAATGGCCATACTGCCCAAGGTAATTTACAGATTCAATGCCATCCCCATCAAGCTACCAATGCCTTTCTTCACACAATTGGAAAAAACTACTTTAAAGTTCATATGGAACCAAAAAAAAGCCTGAATCACCAAGTCAATCCTAAGCCAAAAGAACAAAGCTGGAGGCATCACACCACCAGACTTCAAACTATACTACGAGGCTACAGTAACCAAAACAGCATGGTACTGGTACCAAAACAGAGATATAGATCAATGGAACAGAACAGAGCCCTCAGAAATAACGCCGCATATCTACAACTATCTGATCTTTGACAAACCTGAGAAAAACAAGCAATGGGGAAAGGATTCCCTATTTAATAAATGGTGCTGGGAAAACCGGCTAGCCATATGTAGAAAGCTGAAACTGGATCCCTTCCTTACACCTTATACAAAAATCAATTCAAGATGGATTAAAGACTTAAACGTTAGACCTAAAACCATAAAAACCCTAGAAGAAAACCTAGGCATTACCATTCAGGACATAGGCATAGGCAAGGACTTCATGTCTAAAACACCAAAAGCAATGGCAACAAAGACAAAATTGACAAATGGGATCTAATTAAACTAAAGAGCTTCTGCACAGCAAAAGAAACTACCATCAGAGTGAACAGGCAACCTACAAAATGGGAGAAAATTTTCGCAACCTACTCATCTGACAAAGGGCTAATATCCAGAATCTACAATGAACACAAACAAATTTACAAGAAAAAAATAAACAACCCCGTCAAAAAGTGGGTGAAGGACATGAACAGACACTTCTCAGAAGAAGACATTTATGCAGCCAAAAAACACATGAAAAAATGCTCATCATCACTGGCCATCAGAGAAATGCAAATCAAAACCACAATGAGATACCATCTCACACCAGTTAGAATGGCAATCACTAAAAAGTCAGGAAACAACAGGTGCTGGAGAGGATGTGGAGAAATAGGAACACTTTTACACTGTTGGTGGGACTGTAAACTAGTTCAACCATTGTGGAAGTCAGTGTGGCAATTCCTCAGGGATCTAGAACTAGAAATACCATTTGACCCAGCCATCCCATTACTGGGTATATACCCAAAGGACTATAAATCATGCTGCTATAAAGACACATGCACACGTATGTTTATTGCGGCATTATTCACAATAGCAAAGACTTGGAACCAATGCAAATGTCCAACAATGATAGACTGGATTAAGAAAATGTGGCACATATACACCATGGAATACTATGCAGCCATAAAAATGATGAGTTCATGTCCTTTGTAGGGACATGGATGAAATTGGAAATTATCATTCTCAGTAAACTATCACAAGAACGAAAAACGAAACACCACATATTCTCACTCATAGGTGGGAATTGAACAATGAGATCACATGGACACAGGAAGGGGATCATCACACTCTGGGGACTGTTGTGGGGTGGGGGGAGGGGGAGGGATAGCATTGGGAGATATACCTAATGCTAGATGACGAGTTAGTGGGTGCAGTGCACCAGCATGGCACATGTATACATATGTAACTAACCTGCACAATGTGCACATGTACCCTAAAACTTAAAGTATAATAATAAAAAAAAAAAGAAAATTAAGAAAAAAGAAAAAAGTAAAAAGAAACAGGTGAAATTAACTTTGATAATGTATTTTATATAACTAGCTATATCCAAAATATTATTTCAATATATCCTCAATATAATTATTAAAAAAAAATTGGAACTAATGCTGCAATGCCCTTTCGAATCTATTTTTTACCTTTAGTTCATTGCATCAGAATGTTTTTCCAAGGCCCAAGGCCTATTCTATTACTTTTTGAAGCAGCCTTTAAATGGTATTGTGAGCAGCCTGTGGATATGGAGCGACATTAGCACATTTGAAAATAAACAGAAAAGATCTCTGTTTTCTTGAAGAGCTTGCCAACTGAAATTTGTTATACTATCACTTTTTGTGGGTCACCTGCCTAAGTTTTCCTTCATAATAATTTGCTTCATCTCTACTTCCTCATTTATTGTGGAGAAATGCCCATTTGTAATGAAAGTTCAGGTCATTTTGGTTCATTCTTGAGGAGGACAACAATGAGCAAAGCTTTTGAAATCAATCTTTGGCAATATGATACAGTGCCAACACAGAAACCTAGCCCTCAGTCTGGCTTATCTCTCCAGACGTTGAAAATTTCTACTTAAGTTTAAATGAAATATTTTGTGAGAAAAGGAGAATGGCTCATCCATTGATGAAGCAAATATGAAGTTTTTCTCTCCAAATCTGAATAAAATGTGAAAATGCACTGAAAACTAAACCTAAAGCATTTAGTAACTTAAAAGCTTTTAGTGGATTATGGCTTGATTTATGAATAACTAGAACGAAGAAGTAATGAATTAAATTAGAACAAGGAGGCACGGCTTTGCAGTTAAATTTAAAAGTGACTCAATTATTTTTAAAATAAAAACTAAGTTCCTATTTGTTCTTTTGGGTGGGGCAAGCAAGGAGACACAGTGGGTAGTGGGGATTAGCAGGGCAGCCAGGTCATGCTTTCAGTTGTTGCCTTTGTTCTTTGAGTGCTTTGAACTCTGAGGATTTACAATGTGCATTTTCCATGCAGGAACCTCCAGGAGAGAATGAACATGTGCTAGAAAGCTGAGATAGATGAGGATCTTCTTTCCTTCCCAACAAAAAGAGATATATAACCCACACATAACAGCATTAAAATATTAGATAGTAAAAACCCAGGCTGTGACTTTTACAAAGGATGTTTGATAATAGAATGCAGGAATAAATCATAAAGTGAGGTTTTCTTCTGTAATGGAGGCTCTTTGACATTCTAATTATCCCAGAAGTAATTTCTTCATGTTATATATAGTCGATCTGTTCTCTTGCAGCAGAAACTAGGACATTCCCAGCAACTCGGGCAACTGTATAGGTATTTTGGCAGAACACACATATATTACCTATGGCCGCAAAGTGTGATGATATATTACATAACTACTTGGAATTGAAACAGTTTATGCATTTGTACTTTAGTGAATGAAATAATTCATCTACTCCACAAATATTTATAGAGACTTTGTGTGCTTGAACCAAGAATTCTGTCTATTTTTTTAGGAGCTCTGATGTAAGTGGGTTGTCTGTCATGGAATGGTTTACAATGTGGAGTAGATCGGTAAACGAGACATTGAAACTGATAATGATGGCATATATAGGTTATCTAAAAATAGAATTGAAAGATCCTATCACTTGGACAAAAGCTAAAAATATTCTCATTATATTAATTAGGAATGTTAATATAATTATATCACAACCATTCTACTCTCTCCTATGAGTATGACTTTTTTATATTTCACATATAAGTGAGATTATGCAGTTTCTATTTTTCTGTGCCTGGCTTATTTCAACTAGCATAGTGTACTCCAGGTTTATCCATGTTGTCATAAATGGCATAATTTCCTTCTTTTTGAAGGCCAAAGAGTATTTCTTCTTTTCAGCACATGGAACATAACTCAAGGATGGACCATATGTTGGGCCATTAAACAAGTTTCAAAAATTTATAAATATTAAAGTCATATCAAGTATTTGTTTTACCACAATGGAATAAAACTAGGAATCAATAACAAGAGGAAACTCAGAAACTATACAAACACATGGAAATTAAACCATATGCTCTTGAACATCCACTGTATCATGAAGAAATTAAGAAGGAAATTTTAAAAATTCCCAAAACAAATGAAGTAGAAACACAACCTGCCAAAACCTATAGGATACAGTGAAAGCAGTACTAAAAGGGAAGTTTATAGCAATAAATAATCTATATCAAAAAGTTGAAAGACTTCAAATAAATAGCATAGTGATGCACTGGTAAGTAGGAGTTGGACAATGAGAAAATATGGGCACAGGGAGGGGAACATCACACACTGGGGTCTGTTGAGGGGTGAGGGGCAAGAGGAGGGATAGCATTAGGAGAAATACCTAATGTAGATGATGGGTTGATGGGTGCAGCAAACCACCATGGCACATGTATACCTATGTAACAAACCTGCACATTCTGCACATGTATCCCAGAACTTAAAGTATACATAAAAAAAGAAATAGAAAGCCAAGAGAAAACTAAACCAAAAATTAATTAAAAATGAAATGATAAAGATCAGAGCAGAAATAAAGACCAAAGTAAGACTAAATTAATAATACAAAAGATCAAAAAAAGGAAAGTTGGTTTTATGAAACTATAAACAAAATCAACAAACCTTTGGTCAGACTAATTTAAAAAAAAGAGAGACCTCCAAATCAATCCAAAATAGAAAATGAGACACTACAACTGATAATACAGAAATTTAAAGGATTATTAGAGACTGTCATGAACAACTGTATACCAACAAAAGACAAAACCTAAAGAAATGGATACATTCATAGACACATAGAACCTATCTAAGATTAAACCATGAAGAAATCCAAAACCTGAGTAGACCAATAACAGACAATGAGCTAGAAGCAGTAATAAAAAGGTTTTTTTTTTAATCAAAGAAAAGCCCAGAACCTGATGCCTTCACTTTTGAGTTCCACCACTTAAAAAATAACTAATACCTGTTCTACTTTTACTATTCCAAAAAATCAAGGGGGAAGGAATGCTTTCAAATTCATTATATGAGGTCAGTATTACTCTGATACAAAAACCAGAAAAAGACAACATAAAAAGAAAACAGCAGAGCAATATCTCTGATGAACGTAAATGCAAAAACCAAGAATAAAATAATAGCAATCAGAATTCCACATCACATTAAAATATAATTTAACATAATCAAGTAGGGATTCAAGGATGGTTCAACATAGGCAAAACAATAAATGTGGTACATCATAGCAACAGAATGAAGGACAAAACCATATAATAATTTCAATAAATGATGAAAAAGCATTTGACAACATGAAACATCTCTTCATAATAAAAACTTTCAACAAACTGAGTACAGAAGGAACATACTTCAACATGATAAAACTCATATAAGACAAACCTGTAGCTAGCACTATACTGAGTGGCAAAAACCTGAAAGCATTTCTTCTAATATCTGGAACAAGACAAGGATGCTCACATTCACCACTTTTATTCACCATACTATGGGGAGTCCTAACCAGAGCAAGCAGACTAGAGAAAGAAATAAATAACTTCCAAATTGGAAAGGAAAAAGTGAAATTATCCTTGTTTGCAGTTATGTCTACATTAAAGTAATATGGTTGCCAGAGGCCTATGCATCTATTTTTGTATCAAGTAAATATGTTCCCAGACTCACAGAGACTTGCAGAAAAGAGATTAAATTTACCATAGGATATCCTTAGTTATCTATCTTCA
The DNA here is from genome assembly GCF_000001405.40 of Homo sapiens. Classification (NCBI taxonomy): domain Eukaryota; kingdom Metazoa; phylum Chordata; class Mammalia; order Primates; family Hominidae; genus Homo; species Homo sapiens. The sequence goes on from NC_000004.12 coordinate 156,377,043, forward strand.
TCTTCGATACTGCTTGATCCTTGCTGGCCCTGTCCACAATCAAATTTACTGGTCTACTTGTGAAATAAAGCAATATATAGGAACTTCAGCATTTTTACCACCGCACCGCATGCATGTAAGGCTGTCTAAAATACTTAAACATGTTGACTCATTTCCTTGAGACTAAAGTCTAGCCTAATATAGTTTTAAAAGTAAGATGAAAAGAAAAGAAGGCTTATTATTTTTGAAAGTTGTATAGATTTTTTTTAGAAGTCACATTTTTAAAAACGTAATTATGGTCTGGGAACCATAGATTTATTTAGAAGAAAGACTTATTTGATATTTGCTTTCCTAAGAAAAAGTGCATTTTCAAAACATCTTACAAAATGAAATTTTGAACTGCTAAATCTGAAACTCTGGGTCAAACATGTTGTCATTACTGTAAAAATTCCTGTGGTTCTCATGGTTAGCCTTTGGCATCCACAGTTTCAGAAACTCTGAAGTCCTTCTAATTTTGGAAAATATGGGTGGGATATTTTGGTCTAGTTGTACTAAGCAAGATTCTTGCCTTTATCAAAGCTTAAGCCTCAAAATATGTTTCCGCCATTTGAAAGAAGTGGCAGATAACAAGAACTTAGAATTAGTGTAATAAATAAATGATGTTAGATTTTTTATGCTATATAAGGGCAGGAACAGATTACTAATTAGCATTTTATCTACTTACACATTTAAATTGGGAATCCAAAAACCAGGAGCTAAACTTTTACACGTTGGGAAACGTATTCCTCAAGGAGTTGGGATCAAGAAACGTTTCTAGGGACAACTCATATTTAATTCAGAAACTAGCTTAAATGATTGTTTGGGGCAAATTCAATGATTATAGCCCACCCATTAATGTGATAAACTGGCATTATAGATTGCATTAAGACCTACTGGGATAAAGGCGAGGATATGCGGTGAATTGCAAAAAATGACGTCAAATTATTCTGATCCTTGTATAAAGGTCTTTTTGTAAAGTGACTTTGCTCCTCCTCCCATCAAGAGATAACGTTTATCTCTTTATCTCTTGAATCCCGGCTTGGCCACATAACTTGCTTTTAGCTAATGTGACAGGCGCAATGTGTTACTGGCAGAGATTTGAAAATGCTTGCACATTGCACCTTCCTCTCTTTCTGCTAGGCTGTTGGAGAATAAGAAGTCAAGTGAAGGAAAACTGAGATACACCAGCTGTCAGCCCACTGGCTGCTAACCTGGCAACTCCATACTATTCTGCCCCCTTGAGAAGGAATGGAAGTACTGCGCCCCTATAAGTACACTTCTGCTTTTAAAGTCTAACTGTAAATATTGTTGAATATTCTTAACCTTACATGTATTAAGAAGAAAATTAGAAGTTATATAAAGTGTACAGCACTATGTGTTTACATGAGAAAACTGGATTAGACTTGTTCACATACACAGAACAAGGTCAAGAAGTGCTTTACAAGGAGTGGCTGAGAAATAAGTGGATGTTTGCAAATGATAAGACTTCATTTGTCATGTGACTATTTTTATTTTTTTAAATAATTCATCCTTTTTTTTTTTTTGAGACACAGTCTTGGTCTGTCGCACAGGCTGGAGTGCAGTGGCGCGATCTCGGCTCACTACAACCTCTGCCTCACGGGTTCAAGTGATTCTCCTACCTCAGCCTCCAGAGTAGCTGGGACTACAGGCGCCCACCACCAAGCCCAGCTAATTTTTGTATTTTTTTTTTTTTTTTTTTTTTTTTTTTTTAGTAGAGATGAGGTTTCACCATATTCACCAGGCTGGTCTCAAACTCCTGACCTAGTGATCCCCTCACCTCAGCCTCTCAAAGTGCTGGGATTACAGGCGTGAGCCACTGTGTCCGGTGCATCATTCTTTTTTAAAGCATATTTAATTCCCAAGAATGTTATACAGTTCTATTTATATATTATTTGTATGTTCTGTAAAGTCAAGAGATGTTGGATATCCAAATGCTTTACTAGTCGACCAACACAAAAGAAGAAGGAAGTCTATTAATGTAGTAATCGACTGTCACTTTACAAGACTGTGTTTTTGGAGATACCAAAAGGGCTGTAATCCTTTACCTCATGTTTTCTTATAATATAACGGTATTTTGAGATAAAAGTACTCAATATAGAAAATACATGAGCAATGCAGTTCTCAAGGAAGTTTAAAAATAACAGAAAAGGGGCCGGGCGCGGTGGCTCACGCCTGTAATCCCAGCACTTTGGGAGGCCGAGGCGGGTGGATCATGAGGTCAGGAGATCGAGACCATCCTGGCTAACAAGGTGAAACCCCGTCTCTACTAAAAATACAAAAAATTAGCCGGGCGCGGTGGCGGGCGCCTGTAGTCCCAGCTACTCGGGAGGCTGAGGCAGGAGAATGGCGTGAACCTGGGAAGCGGAGCTTGCAGTGAGCCGAGATTGCGCCACTGCAGTCCACAGTCCGGCCTGGGCGACAGAGCGAGACTCCGTCTCAAAAAAAAAAAAAAAAAAAAAAAAAAAAAAAAAAAAAAATTAACAGAAAAGGAAAATGTGTCATATTTCAGGCTGTCAAGGTGTTTGGTCAGGTATAAAATGTTGATATAGATATGAACATTTTTGTAAATCCTGTGATTTTTTTCTTTGCATAGGTAATTTTATATTTTATTTACTAAAGATTAGTGGTAAAAGAAAATAATATTTTTAGATCAACAAGCATGGTTATAACTATACTTAACCTTTAAGGCTGTCAGTTTTTTTGTTTCTTAAGTATGAATTATACTATCTTAAAACAATATGGAAATATTCACTTTTGTGTAGTAACCTTAACCAAGGGCATACATTATGCACAATGAGCACTTGAGACATTTCACCTTATATCCAGGTGTCATCACAAAATTATCTGATTTACAGAGATCAAGAAAAACCTTGATTCTTCATTGATTTTCAGCAATGATAAAGAGTAATTACTACATTGACTTGTATATTTCTGAAAAAAGCAATTGGACAAAACACTGTCTACCTGAATCTCTAGTTATCATCTAAAAATGCTTGCATTATGGAGATAAGACTAGGAGAAGTGAACTTATACAATGTTAGTAATGATTAGGAGAAGAAGGATACTGTAGATGATTTGAATATCTTAATATAAAACACATAATAATTCGAGCACACTTTGACTAATTACTTTGCCCTTAGGTATTTCTGAAAAGTTTCTTTAGTAAGAAAATTAACAAAAATAAACATTAAAAGAGCAATACATAAACTATTTATGACAATGAGTTATTTAAACCATTTCAGCATTGTATTATTCTAAACATCATATACTTCAATTTTTGGTCTTTTTGTTATGTAAAAAAGTATCTTAAAATTATATCAGACTGTACTTTGTAAATATCAGGATTGTATACTAGAATTAAAATAGATTTTTGTATTATGCTCCACAAGACTCTTCTTATAATAAGATATTTTATTAAGCTAGACAGTAAATATATTAAATGAGGTCAAATTTGTTATTTCCGCTGCATTTTACTTATTTAAATATTTTAAGACATGCACTTTATGCATATGATAAGCCAGTCACTTCACCTCTACGGTACTCTTCCCCAAAACACATAGCCCAGTCTAATTATCAGCCAAACTCAAACTGAATGTTGTTTCACCAAATAACCTGACTGTACTCCTCAAACTGTCAAGGTCAAGAAGAACAAGGAAAGTCTGAAAAACTGTCACAGACCAGAGTAAACTAAGAAGATGTGACACTAAATGTCGTGTGGTATCCTGGGTTAGAGCTGGAAGAGAAAATGATACCAACAAAAAAAATCCAGCGATATCAAAAAAAAAAAGTATTCAGTTGGTTATTAACGTATCAGTGTTAGTTTTCAGCTGTGACAAATGTGCCATGGTGGCGCAATGATGGGGAAACTTGGTGAATGGTTTATGAAAACTTTGTGTATTATCTTTGAAACATTTGTATAAAGCTAAACTTCCAAATACAAAGTTTTAAAGAAAATTCTAGAGCTCTATTGTTTTTGATACACATATAACAATTTTTGGGCCGGGCATGGTGGCTCACGCCTGTAATCCCAGCACTTTGGGAGGCAGAGGCAGGTGGATCACAAGGTCAGGATTTCGAGACCCGCCTGGCCAATATGCTGAAACCCCGTCTCTGCTAAAAATAGAAAAATTAGCTGGGCATGGTGGCGCATGGCATAGTCCCAGCTACTCGGGAGGCTGAGGCAGGAGAATCGCTTGAACCCCGGAGGTGGAGTTTGCAGTGAGCCAAGATTGCACCACTGCACTTCCAGCCTGGTGACAGAATAAGACTCCATTTCCAAAAAAAAAAAAAAAAAAGAATTTTTGCTTAAATGTGCATTTAGATTTCCAATACGGAAATAAAGATATTTGTTGCAATGCAAACTAGAATGACAATAGAGAATCCTAAATTTGTTTATGAGGCAGGAAATGGCTACACTTTCATCTTGTGATTTTAAGTATATTTAGATTGTGTATCAAAAGCTACCAGTTGTGCTCAAATATCCATTCTGCCTTGAATGTAATGGTCCCCCTGGTATTAAGCTAGGAGCATGGCTTCCCAGGATGAGGAAGGTTGTCAGGTTACATTTTTCAGGTTACCTTGCAATAGAAATGGCCTGGGTTATGGGATATAGGTTGAATTAGTATATGTGACTTCCAGCATGTCCTTAAAATTAAAGGTAGACTCTCCATTGCCCCTTCCTCCTTCATGTAGGCTGGAATGTAGACATATTGGTTGGAGCTCATGAGGCTATATTGGACCATGATGTGGAAGCCATGTGTAAAAATGGCAGGCAAGAGGAATAACAAAGCAAATAAACAAGCAAAAGGACCTTGGCTTCCAGAGACCATCGAGAATAATTCCAGTCCTGAATTGCAAACCTACAGATTTCTTTTATGTAAGAGAAATAAATTCCTATCTTGTTTAAGCTATTATCATTTAGATTTTCTGTTTCTTATAGCAGAAACGAATCAAAAATACTATAATATAAAATGCACTTTATTTTCTTTACATATGAGATTTTTGGAATACCTAACATTTACAAATCTTAGCATTTCCTGGAAAATGAATACCTAACATTTACAAACACCTAACATTTACACATCAGCATTTCCTGGAAAACTTGTCATTTTAGAATACACTTTAGAAATATTCTACTCCAGAAAGTTAAAAAACAATTTTCCTTATTATATCCAACGTTTGATTTTATCAAAATCTTTCACAAATATTTTATTCTCATGCAAACTGGAAATGTACTTTGTTTTAGCTAATTACATTCTATGCTTTCTGTATCTCTCTTAACACACATACACTATCACACACCCATTACCCTCAAATGTGCAAAACATTTGTGCACATTACCCTCAAATGTGCAAAACATCTCATATAAGATAAAGTAATATTTTCTTGGATACAAAGTACAAATCAGAAAAGGCATAAGCACAGCGAATTTGGTCTGATGCTATTCAATTTCCATTCATCGTACCAGATATAGTCTTTATGTCAATATATTGGGCAGCTTCTTCTCTGCCCTAGACATGATTTTATATTAAAATCTCAGGCAGGTTTTCGATACACTTTTCAGAGGAAAATATTGTTCTTTTTATTTCAGACCTGAATCAAGTTATGGAAATCTTCTATGAACCCTGGCCAATTCATTTACACTTGGCCATTTTTCCCCACATTTTTCATTTCTATTATAACTTAGGCAATCCAGGAGACTTATGGAACTCGTACAATTTCTCTCTGAAATAGCTCTATTACAGGGCAGATTAGTACATAGGAAGACACATCAGTAATTCTCACTTTTCTATTTCCACAAGAACGTATATGAAGGAAGTTGACTTGTTTAATGGACTCAGATGGATGAATCCAGCATTATGTATACAGTTCCTCTGAACTTCCATCTGTCTTGAAAATATAACAGTGTGTGAATGAGAATGGTGTGTGTTGGAGGGATATTCTTTTATTTGCTTTACTTTATTTTTTAAAAAGTAAATCATTCACACACTTAACTATTTTAATTATTATTAATAGAAAATTTCTTACTACATGACTGTAACTTGCAATGCCTTATGTGAGAATTGTTGTTATGTGGTACGTTACTCTCCTCTCTAAAAATTAAGGAAGGTCATCATTGACTATCTGATAATGACGAGTTGATGAACTTCAAAGGGGGATCACTAAAAATATCATTAATTCAGAAAGATTTCCAGACCATCCAATTAAACTCTACCAGTTCATAGCACTGCGCTACTGGTTCACAACATGAAATCGCACTGGTCAAGATTGAGCCTCCTTGGCTCACTTCCTCCCTTCTTTCTTCCTTCATCTTTCATTCTAAAAATAAATATTGAGTGCCTACTGCACACACTGGCCTTGGTGACGCGGTAACAAAACAGACAAGATTCATTGCTGTCTTGGAGCATTCGTGGAAGACAAAATTTAAAGTATACACAATAAATATGTAATGTATATGTGAACTTAAAATAAATGCTAAGGAAGAAATGGAAAAAATGGAATCAGTAAATGAGAGAAATTGCACCTTCTTTATTTAATAGGTTTATGGTGAGTGAATGTATATACCAGATAAAACATGATTTTATAAAAATGCTTATACTATTAGTATCGATTGGAAAATTTTGAATGACTTATAAGGGAATCTTTGTATTTACCTTAAAGTGAAAAATTCAACAATTAAGATATTTTGATATTCAATAATCCTTAAGTCACCAGAGGAGCTTATTAAAAACTTTGTATTTGACATTTTCATTTAATTTTAATCTGAAGGGAAGTGGTACAATTGAGCCATAAACTAAAAGTAAACTAACATACGTGAGCTAACTTTCATAGCTTTTTTTTTTCTGTAGATCTATTTAATCACTAATATTTATTTTGGTCATCCTTTTGATTATCTAATTATTGAATTTGACTTTTAAATGTGTAAACCTTTACTTAACAAATGAATACTCATTTGATATTACCATTTTTAAAGTAACCTAAAATTTTAAAGATATGAATTTAAAGAATGATGTTTTTTAGGGATTATTGTAATGACAGAACCAGAAATAGCTTTTTAATTCTTTCCCAACATATACCGACCCACAAACCTTTCAGATATGTAGAATGATTTCAACCATAAATTAATCTGTGCATGTGCAGAATCATCAGATGGCATACAGGTGGCAAATTCTACTTCCAAAACTGATTTGTTTAAAAAAATAAAAGGCCAGGTGTGGTGGTTCACATCTGTAATCCTAGCACTTTGGGAGGCTGAGGCGGGCAGACTGCTTGGCCTCAGGAGTTCAAGACCAGCCTCAGGAACTTGGTGAAACTCCAACTCTACAAAAAAAAAAAACACAAAAAAAATTAGCCAGGTGTGGTGGCTTGTGCATGTAGTCCCAGATCCTTGCAAGACTGAAATGGGAGGATCTCTTGAGCCCTGGAGGTAGAAGCTACAGTGAGCCATGGTCGCAACACTGCATTCCAGCCTGAGCTACAGAGTGAGATCCTTTTTTAAAATAAAATAAAACAAAAATCTACTTTTTCATAAGAAAAGTAAATAAAGTATCATAAGAAATGACAGAAAGTTAAATTTGAGCTACTATCATTAACTGATGATCCTAAACTTGAGGCTTAGAAACACAGAGTAGAGGTGCTACAAAAGTTGGACTTGGACTGTGAGTTCCATGAAGGAATGGATGATGGCTTTGGTCACTGATATAAAGCCTAGAATATCTAGGTACCACTACACTAGAATGAACACTTGGTTAATGCGTGAGTGAGTAAATACATGTCTAGGAAGATATTCAGCGATTCTGCTTTTATTTCCATTTGTAGAACATGTATTCACAAGGAAGAACTTTGTCTCCCAGGAAAGCATGGCCGCGTTGTCTACAGTGGTGTCGGAAAGAATCACTCCTGCAGGCCACAGTTCATTATTTCTTAGGAAAACTGAGGTTAAAAAGGACAGGAGTAGTTCTCCAAGACCAAAGTCAATTCACCAGAATTAAAATTCTCAAAAATATATTGTTGGGAGTCAGATTTTTGATATTTTAGAAAGCAAGTTTTCTGACTGAGCCAAAGGGACTTAGGAGAAAGGCAAAAAGACTTTGTGAAAGGAACAGTTTTTGAGTGCCCCTTGATGTCCCAGACCTTCCAAAGAAAACAAACAACGACCCTTGGATTATTGTTACCTCATCGGCTTGTGCATATTGGTATCCTCTCTGGCCAGGGAAGTCACCACCCAACATCTTAAAGTAGTACCGTGCTCCTGGTATATTTGGTTCCTGTGTGTGAAATGCTTGTTTCTACTACACATGGGAGGTGACAAAACAAAATGTTAAAAAATAATTATTTGTCCTATATTGTTAATCATCAAAAATTTACATAATGAACTGTGTAAAATTAATTAAAATTATTGTAATGAAACTATAGTTGCTTTATTTACATTATAAAATAAATATTAACATTTATGATATATAGGTAGCAAACATGACTCAAAATAATTGTATTCATTATTAGTAGAATTTTGAAATAAGGTTTATTGTTACTCTTTGCTTTGTACAGTTGCATAGTATTTCAGATTTCTGAAAGTCACAAGGTCAGGCTAGTCATCTCCTCCTGCTGGGTTTTAAGCTGAAACTATAAAATAATCACAAACATTACACTGTATTACCTAAAGACCATCATAATGAAGATTTAAGTTATGTAGTACAGGTTAACAACACTACTGGAATTGAGAAAATGAGAGACCAAACTGGGCAGGAATTATCAATAAAGTTATATAGATTTTTTTATTATCAGTAATAACTGACAAAATTTCCATTTATGTAGTGCTTAACATTTTATGGTATCAATATACTTTGATTTATATTTAAAACCTTTTATTTAATGTCTATCAACCAAACATGAATTTTTTTATAAATAGAAATTATCTGTTTTAATATAAATGGTGGAGGTTAAGTGGCCTCAGTTATTATTATTCATTTAAAACTCCTTTTCTCCCATTTGCCTGTTTAATCTCAGGAATACAAAATTTTGCGGTCAGCAAACTTGCCTCTATTTTTTTTTCAAATGAAGACTTTACACATGATTTCTCCATGAGTAATTCTAATGAAATCAATCATCATATTTCTTTAAGATAAAGATCTGATGGAATCTTAAACATATACAGACATGGACTAGCAACGATGTAAATACTAAGAACGTATATGTACTTAGCAATCAATTACTTAATTCAGCACCATTAGTTGAGCACTTTTATGGCAGTAACCTAAGCATGATACCAGTAATGAAGGTGTGGCCTGCCCCTCCACACCTGTGGGTATTTCTAGTCGGGTGGGACAAGAGACTGAGAAAAGAAATAAGACACAGAGACAAAGAGTAGAGAAACAATAGTGGGCCCAGGGGACCGGTGCTCAGCATACCAAGGACCTGCACCAGCACCGGTCTCTGAGTTCCCTCAGTTTTTATTGATTATTATTTTCATTATTTCAGCAAAAAGGAATGTAGTAGGAGAGCAGGGTGATAATAAGGAGAAGGTCAGCAAAAAACATGTGAGCAAAAGAATCTAAGTCATAATTAAGTTCAAGGGAAGATACTATGCCTGGACGTGCACGTAGGCCAGATTTATGTTTCTTTCCACCCAAACATCTCAGTGGAATAAAGAATAACAAGGCAGCATTGCTGCCAACATGTCTCGCCTCCTACCATAGGGCGGTTTTTCTCCTATCTCAGAGTTGAACAAATGTACAATCGCGTTTTATACCAAGACATTCAGTTCCCGGGGCAGGCAGGAGACAGTGGCCTTCCTCTATCTCAACAGCAGGAAGCTTTCCTCTTTTACTAATCCACCTCAGCGCAGACCCTTTACGGGTGATGGGCTGGGGGACGGTCAGGTCTTTCTCATCCCACGAGGCCATACTTCAGACTATCACATGGGGAGAAACCTTGGACAATACCCCGCTTTCAAGGGCAGAGGTCCCTGCGGCTTTCTGCAGTGCATTGTGCCCCTGGTTTATTGAGACTAGAGAATGGTGATGACCTTTACCAAGTATACTGCCTGTAAACATTTTTTGTTAACAAGGCACATCCTGCACAGGCCCTAGATCCCTTAAACCTTGATTTCATACAACACGTGTTTCTGTGAGCTCCAGGTTAGGTCAAAGTGGCTGGGGCAAAGCTACAAATTAACAACATCTCAGCAAAGCAATTCTTTAAAGTACAGGTCTTTTTCAAAATGGAGTCTCTTATGTCTTCCCTTTCTACATAGACACAGTAACAGTCTGATCTCTCCTTCTTTTCCCTACAGGTAAAATTGTCTAAAGCACTACACATTGGTGTTTTTAAGTCTGGGCTGGGCATTCCCATCATTCATTTTAAGATTATGTACATACAAATAATACTAGAAGTTTTTTAAGTATATATTTCACTGTAAAATACACTTTTTAAATTAAATAGCCCTCATTTAATACAAACATTTTTATTAAATACACTTTATTTAATAAAATAATACAATTTTATTTTATTAATAAGATAAATAAGTGTATTTAAGTGTAATAAAAATAGTTATTTTTATTTTATTAAACAATTTTTATAATTTTATTTTTTATTAAAATAAAATAATTTTATTAAATACACTTATTTTTATTAAATAATATAATTTTATTGAAAATGTGTTATAGTTAAGGAAATCTACAATAATAATAATTATTATTCCAGGAAATGTCACTATATTTTGATATTTCTCTTTCTAAATTTACAGTGGTTTGAGGCTTTTAGCTTTTTGTAAATTTTGTTTGGCAGTTCAGATAAAAAGCAATATGAACAAAACTTCAGGGGAAATTTAGAGCAGAAGCTGAAAATCTATTTCGAAGAAAAGTATCAACTAATACTGTACATGTATGTTCCAAAATTTAGGATCATTTGGAAGTAAAAAATAGGGAGGGGTCAAATTTTGATCCAGTAAAATGGAGAAATGTATTCCACAAGTGAATTGACTGAATTCACAAACCACATTGCTTTTCCATTATTACTTTTAAAAATATCTAGTTATAAATTAGACTTTGGGATTTGTGTTTATTTCTCTTTATAGCTTTTTAACCAATGGTTTCAGTATCTGTTAGGTAAATGAATTTGGGTTCTTTTAGAACAAGCTGCAGTTTGACAAGAAATAAATTGTCAATTTCATTATATTCAAATGTGTTGTCCTTCTACCCAATAATCCCTTTAAACAAGCATTAGGGAGTTGGCCTAACACCTGCCTTAACACCAGATAAAGTGAGGCTCTGAACACGTAGGAAAGAAAGTTTTATTCCACGCAGACAATTTTACTTAATACATAATGCATCACTAAATTTAATTTGAGACATTCTTCCATGCAGAATATACTAAAAGTCTGATGTTTTGGAGACTTTTATAGATTTCAGAGATTTATTTTGTTTTGACATAAGAAACTCAATGCATAAATCCATGAAAGTGAAACATGTGCTGTAAATATAATGCTTCAAAATGCCTGTGATTGCAGAGTACAGGAATAATTATCTTAATCAGTCTGAGGTCTCATGTTCCGGGTGGCAACTCCTTTTCCTAGCTAGGGTTTTCAACTGAGGTTACCTGTTAAACACTGAGAGCATTTTAAAATACCTGATGCTTACTTCCAGGCTCCAACACAGAGTAATCATGAAAATCTATGGAAGTGAAATCACTGGAGGTACTGAGTTTTTGAAAGTACCTCACGTGATTCTAATGTGCAGTCAAGTGGCAAACCATTTGCCTCAGCAAGGGCTTCAAATCATGGTATTTCCTATCACCTGCATTCATATACAGCAGTTTTTCAACTGGAAACAATTCGCCCCTTGGTGGATATTTGGCAAAATCTGGAGACATTTTTGATCATCACAATTTGGGAGTGTTGTTGAAAGCTGGTGGGTAGGGCCAACAAGGATGTTGCTAAACATCCTGCAATGCACAGCTCACCACAGCGAGAAATTATTCAGACCAAAATGTCAAGAGTGCCAAAGGTTAAGAATTCCTGAGATAGAGTCACCAGTGTCTCATGCACTGGGAGACAAAAAACGAAAAATAACAACAACAAAAAACATATATTTATGTATCTGTAATTATTATTATTATTTTTTGAGATGGAGTTTCACTCTTGTTGCCCAGGCTGGAGTGCAATGGTGCAATCTTTGCTCACCACAGCCTCTGCCTCCTGGGTTCAAGCAATTCTCCTGCCTCAGCCTCCCGAGTAGCTGGGATTACAGGCATGCGCCACCATGCCTGGCTAATTTTGTATTTTTAGTAGAGATGGGGTTTCTCCATGTTAGTCAGGCTGGTCTCGAACTCCCGACCTCAGGTGATGCGTCTGCCTCGGCCTCCTAAAATGCTGGGATTACACACTTAAGCCACCGTGCCCGGCCATGTCTGTAATCATTTTTAAAGTATCTACCATCCTTCTTCCAATTCTAAAGACTCTAAGGAACAACAAGAGTAGGAATCTTTTTTCTTTCCTTTATAGTTTGCTGTTTAAAGGCTGTTTATCTTCCCTACTGCCAGTTTACTGCCAGTTTAAAAGTAAATGGATAGGATAAATGGTTCAGGCAGTGAATTGATTGATTGATTGATTGGTTTTGCACATTTGACTCTTATTTACATGTTGCCAAAACAATTGAATTATTATGTTAAGTAATAAATATAATTTAAAGAAAGAATCCAATCCAATCAATCAACATGATACAGACAACTACATTCAAACTTAAGGGGAAATTTTGAGCAGTACAAGTGATCGTCTGCCTCGTTTATCCATATGGTAATTTCATGCAGGTGACCAAGGAAAGAATAAATTTTCATGGGAAGACCCATTTCAACATTGCAATAAAAAGTCATATGATTATGAAAAATTAAAAATGTGCTCATTTGTTTGCATAATAAACTTGTCAAAAATAAGTTAATTATAAGTTGCCATTGTGAGGCAGCTTGAGGTATGAGATCACAGAGGCTGGTGAAACACTACGTCATTGGAGCTTGGGAGAGAGGTCAGGATTAGAGAAATTTAGCCATTGTTTGCCTGGTGGGGAAGAATTGTGGTCTCTGAATTTCCTAATGAAGAGTGTATAAGGAAGAGCAGAAGGGTCGAGAACAGGAATTTAGTAAGGGAACAATGTTATCTTATTTTAAAAAACCGTAAAATCTATATAAAAGGGCAAAATACAAATAAAAAGTGACGCTTCACTTAATTGACAGAATTCACGTCAGAGGAGTAGATTTCCTCCAAAATCACATATTTCTTTTTTCAGAGAGATAAAAGGGTGGCCTAAATTACTTAGATATTTATTTATTCCTAGTTGAATTACAGTTGCATTCCTAAGGAAGCCTCAGTGATCTTTCACATGTCTAAGGGAATATGACTCCTAGTCTTTTTTAGTAAAGGGAACTATGTACTTGATATCCAAATTGTTAAAAACACTAGGTAATTCTGGATGCCCAGAGCTTCCATGAGGGCCAATAGTCACGCAGGACTGAATAAAGGCCACGATTAGCACTATGATTTCATGCACTCAGGTATAAGCAGGCTCAGACCACATCAGGGGACAAGTTTTAATTAGTGTAAATCTATGTCTCCCATATACTTGGGCTACAGCTTTTTCTTAAGTAGCTTCATTTCTGCATAACAATTGCCCAATTCTTATGACTGTGCTTTTGCCTTGGTTTTCTGGTTTGAACTTTTTGCTGAGGCTGGAGAGTTGCCCTGAACTCCAGCCCAAAATAGTCCTTGCCAGTGCCCTAATCCTTATACCACAGCTTCTGATCTCCAAAGCCTCCAGCTGAGCAGACCTAGATAAATACAGTGATGGCTAAATAGTAAATTCAAGCTCCCCAAGTGAGTGAGTGAGGGGATGAATGAGTGAATGAGGGAGGGAGTGAAAACACAACATTAAAGAAAACGCATGGTAAAGTTGTCAGTGATTCTTGACCAAAAACTAAGACTTCTCTAGATCATGAGAGAACAAGTCAGCTTTCATCATTTTGATCCTGCGTGCAAAAACCAGAAATGAAATATTTGCGGCCATGCAAGATGGCTTTGAAATCAGGAAGCCTTGGCTCACACTATTTCCCAAATTGGCACATTCATTGGAAATGATGTTCAAAGCAACTCACACTAGGAATGGGAAAAGCAGTGTCTGCTTCTCTGAAAGAATATACAACAGCATTTCCCTGTGGAGGGGAACATTCATGCTTGCCATTGTAAGCGTGTATATGTGCAGAAAGATGAAAGTATTGAAGATGCAAATTTTATTTGTTTCTGTGTTTATTTTTAGGTAATAGCTATCTGTAACAACAATGGCTGATGGGTCTAATAATAAGTCTGTTTATGTCATGTTTTAAAATAGACCAAGGAGTGTCTAATTTCACTCTGTGAAATACTTCTAAGTAGAGCCTCAAAGCAAATTAAACTAAATATTGTGCATTTTATGGTTCAGGGTTGGTTTGCTAACAAGATAGCTACTGACAGAGCTGACATGGGCCAACCAAAAACGCTGAGGATGGTCTTTCGTTCAGAGCCTCTTCCATACAACCTTTAACTTCTTTAACTGTCACTGTCTCAGATCTACAGAGAGTCCTACAGCACTGACCCAGAAAAAACAGGCTGTCTTCTGGGCAATAAGACAGTAAAATTCTGGATTAATACCCTCTATAGCCACCCTAGAAAAAAAAATTAATGATGGGAATTTCAAGTTACTAGTATGGGGGCAAACTTCAGGGGAGAAAAAAGAAGGCAGTTGAGACCTTTTGTTATTGATCAAGTCATAAGACCACCTTAATGTTAGATGAGATTACTCAGTTTCCATTTGCTATATTTCATGGGAAGCATTTGCTATTTGGAGAACTGATGTTTACCATGGAACAAATGATTCTTTTTCTAATTTCTAGTATTTATCTTTCGCAATTTTGGCTTTTCTGCTTCCTCCACTTATTTGTCCACAATACCTTCAAATTCTTTATGTATTTAGTGAGCAATGTTGAAAGAGGAATATAATACATTTATTTATTATAATCACTGACCTATAATTCTTAGAATAATTAAGTAGTATAGAAACCAGGATTATACAGAAATATTCCTTATATTTAAAACTCTGCGATAAAATTTTTTACTTGAACCACTTTTTGATAAAATTTACTTCTATTAAGAGGATTATTTTGACAAATATGCCAGTTAATCTCTTGCACGATATTCATTGTTACTGAATGTGTTTGGCAAATAATTCGGCTATCTCTAACTAGCTATTTGACATTGCTATTTCTGTTGGGTGGACCATAGGAGTTATAGTTGCTTGGATCTAACATTTCTACATGAATACATGCTAGAGAAAGGAGCAAATATAAACAGGATTAAGTTCAACAAATCACATGGAAGAAATATATAGACCACAAATACCCGGTGGACCAGTTTGCTTTTTTACAAGTATTTTAGGACAAATTTAGAAATGGTCACACTTGACCACAGGATAAATGTGAATCAGCACAATGGGGCTTCAACTAATAAAAGGAAGTAAAATGCACTGACATTTAAGCAATGAAAATAACCAACTTGGCACCCTTTTCGATTGACCCATTCTTCATCAGGACTAATAAACCGAAGTATTTGGGGAAAGGGAACTTAATATTATTAGTATATTTTAATGTCAGGACCAGTTTCTTCTCTCTAGAAACTTGTGAATGTTAACCTGGGTGTATAACCATAAGAAATATAGAAATAGGTAGATTTACATAAAAATAATACTGTAATGTTAACATTTTTTCATAATCCTTAAATCTTCTTGATGCATATATTGTCTTCTTTGCAAACCTTGGTTTCAATCAGGGTTAAGTCAAGACAAAACATTCCATTTGATGATTTTAAGGTAGAATGGTGCTGGGAACCAAACAGCTGGTATATTTGGCATACCCATATGTCTTGAAGAATTCTGGATTTATCTTTATTATTGGACTACTTCATCCAACATTATTTTCCAAGAGAGTTCTGTATGGTAAACAACCATTTGAGACTCTATAGGCTTAAGAAATTCCTATTGTTGGGAACAGGCCCCCCAAAATCTGGCCATAAACTGGCCCCAAAACTGGCCATAAACAGAATCTCTGCAGCACTGTGGCATGTTCAAGAGGGCCCTGACGCCCACACTGGAAGGTTGTGGGTTTACCAGAATGAGGGCAAGGAACACCTGGCCCACCCAGGGCGGAAAACCGCTTAAAGGAGTTCTTAAACCACAAACAATAGCATGAGCGATCTGTGCCTTAATGGCATGTTCCTGCTGCAGATAACTAGCAAGACCCACCCCTTTGTTTTGGCCCATCCTTTCGTTTCCCATAAAGGATAATTTTAGTTAATCAAATATCTATAGAAACAATGCTAATGACTGGCTTGCTGTTAATAAATACGTGGGTAAATCTCTGTTCCGGGCTCTCAGCTCTGAAGGCTGTGAGACCCCTGATTTCCCACTTCACACCTCTATATTTCTGTATGTGTGTCTGTCATTCCTCTAGTGCCGCTGGGTTAGGGTCTCCCCGACCGAGCTGGTCTCGGCACCTATTTTGTCTTTCCTGTTAAATAACAATTGAGTGAGATTTGTATTTTTTTATTATTATACTTTAAGTTCTTGGGTACATGTGCAGAGTGTGCAGGTTTGCTACATGGGTATACACGTGACATGGTGGTTTGCTGAACCGATCAACCCATCATCTACATTAGGTATTTCTCCTAATGCTATCCCTTCCCTAGCCTCCCACCCCTCAACAGGCCCCGGTGTGTGATATTCCCCTCCCTGTATCCATGTGTTCTCATTGTTCAACTCCCACTTATGAGTGAGAATATGTGGTATTTAGTTTTCTGTTCTTGTGTTAGTTTGCTGAGAATGATGGTTTCCAGCTTCATCTATGTCCCTGCAAAGGACATGAACTCATCCTTTCTTATGGCTGCATAGCATTCTGTAGTGCGTATGTGCCACATTTTCTTTATCCAGTCTATCATTGATGGGCATTTGGGTTGGTTCCAAGTCTTTGCTATTGTGAACAGTGCCACAATAAACATATGGTGAATGAGTCTTTATAGTAGAATGATTTATAATCCTTTGGGTATACACCCAGTAATGGAATTCCTGGGTCAAATGGTATTTCTAGTTCTAGATCCTCGAGGAATCACCACACCAATCTTCCACAATGGTTGAACTAATTTACACTTCCACCAACAGTTTAAAAGTGTTCCTATTTCTCCACATCCTCTCCAGCATCTGCTGTTTCCCGACTTTCTAATGATCACCATTCTAACTGGCATGAGATGGTATCTCATCATGGTTTTGATTTGCATGTCTGTAATGACCAGTGATGATGAGCTTTTTTTCATATGTTTGTTGGCTGCATAAAAATCTTTTTTTGGGAAGTGTCTGTGTATATTTTCACCCACTTTTTGATGGCTTTGTTTATTTTTTTCTTGTAAATTTGTTTAAGTTCTTTGTAGATTCTGGATATTAGTCCTTTGTCAGATGGATAGATTGCAAAAATTTTCTCCCATTCTGTAGGTTTGCTGTTCACTCTGATGATAGTTTCTTTTGCTGTGCAGAAGTTCTTTAGTTTAATTAGATCCCATTTGCCAATTTTGGCTTTTGGTGCCATTGCTTTTGGTGTTTTAGTCATGAAGTCTTTGCCCTTGCCTATGTACTGAATGATATTTATTGGGAAACGTATTTCTTCAAATCTGGTCTATTTTAATATTTTAATAAAGTTCTATGTAATATTCTCCAAAGTTGTATTTTATGGTTAATAAGTTTTAAGTCGTTGCCTTTAGTTGACTCTTCTTCTGTATGTCTTAATATTTTAAATTAAGCACAATCTCACAACAGAAGTTGAGGCATCTGATAAACTCTCAGCCCATAATATTAAAAGGAATTTTTTTTGTATTAAAATGTGTAAATATTTAAGGTTATCTTTTTTTGCTTTCATTCTGAGTATATCTTATTAATGATTCTTTGTATGAAGCAAAATTTATAAAATATGTTTTATTTATTTATAATGTTAATGTTTATCCAAATATAGATGCTAAAAATTAGAATCCTATTCACTTACTTTCCTTCCCAGTGTGGAATATAAACCTAACCAATGCAAAACGGAAAACTATCAGAAGATTCTTCCCACAATAGAAGATATTCCAAGTTACAATAATATTTCAAAATTAAAATTGTAAACTGCTTAATTTCTCATTAATGTATTCAACTCTTTTCTCATATTTTGTAGTAACACATTTTAATGATTTTCTTTTCTGAAAATATTACTTTCAATAATTGCAAGGCAAAATCACTTCCAAAATTTGATTGATAAGTAGTAAAGAAAGATTTTACAGCCGTAACATAGGTTTTTTTTTAAATTCATAGCAGTTAATCACATACATTTTGTAATTTACTTACTATAGTTGTGAATATATAAAAATAGTTCTACAATTTAATAACTACCTTACATAGTTAGATTGGTAGACTATGCAATTTTTAATGGACAAAATTATGAGTTATGTGTACATCACCATTTCAAGGGCATTTCTATTCCAACGTTTTCTTAAGTCAGCAAGAATATTGTTTGTGCTATGAAGCTGCACTCCTAGGAAATCTGTAATTTTATTCTTGCTGCAAATAAAATTCAATACTTAATGTTGAATCCGTAACTCAACTGAATATGCCATTCACATTTTCAAAGCTTTGATTTAGTAACTTGGATTGAAGCATTAATTACTGGTATTAACTAATTTTCTCCATTGGAAGCACCTGATAATAATATAAAACTGGTATATTTAAAAGTTTTGAAATTCTTTTTTTGTTTATGGAGTCAACTCATTTTACAATATGACTATACTTATGACCACATTCAGTTTAGAACAGCCACTTTTTTTAAAAGAAAAAGTAGACATCATACTTTACAGAATGATATGAGAATGCAGAAAATGAACCCTTGTCCATCATGATATTGATATAAGTACTACATCTTAAAGTAAGTGTTGATATTTTTTCAACAATCTGCATCTTTGATTGGTGTCACATCACTGACCACAGGAAAAAAACAAAGACAAAAACCTGCTGAAGGTGTTAAGCATCAACAAATACTTTTGCTCGTTACGTGTTCATTCTCAACTTCCTTGTGAAGTGCAAATTCAGTACATAAATTGTTCTTATACCTGCAGTTTTGCTTGTTGAGCTCATTTATGTGAAAATGCTTATTCTGCTAGACTTGATCTAGTGGACACAGTAGAATGAACATGTGATGGTGATACATGAAGAATCAGATACTTTCCAAACAAGACTCCCTAGATGAAATCCATTCTCTAGATGACTTTCATATATTTTCATTTTTGAAACATATGAGAGGGAAATGTTTCACCAGCCCAATATTCCCCCCCAAATGTTTTGTTTGGGGCCCTAACTTTAAAAAATTGTCTTTAAAAAATAAAGCAAGAAAGAAGAAAATGAAAATTTTCCAAGAAATATGACCAGGAACTACTGTAAAGTCTCAAATTGAAAGGAAGAGACTAAGTGTCCACTCTTAGCACTCTGTAATTGCAAAGTTGTGTCAAAATGCCTTCGTTCAGAAAGCTAAATATTTGTTTTTTCTTATTAAGCTTGATGTTCCCCACTTTGCTTGCCTAATAAGTGTTGCATAATTCTATTCCTGTTAGTATAACCTGCTGCGTTGTCAATATGAAAGGTGAAATCATAGAAGCAGTAATCCCCTAATTTCCCATGACTTCACTCAACCATTTTCAATTGTGCACCAAGGTGTTTGCTTTGTACTACAAAAACCACTCTACAGCATACCCCATATCATGAATTTCCCCCAATGATTACATAAAAAACATAACAATACAGAAATTAGAAATTCTTAGAAATGTGGGTCCTATATATCCTGCATGTATTTCTTACAGTGCCAACTTTCTCCTTATTATACTTAAATTGCCTTGCCAGTACATTTTTTTAAATTGTGTAATTGCTTTTTATGTAAAAGTTGCATTTAGAAAGAAATCATTTAAAATAGCCTAATTCATGTAAAGAAGTTTTGAACTACTTTCCAGCAAGCAAAATACTAACTACTTGGTCAAGTTTAATAAATCTTTTAAAGACAGATTTCTGTTGACCAGAATTATATAGAGAGACAGCTTTTATAAGCCATTTCTAGTTAATCAAAAAAATTTACAGTCTCTCATTAGTTGTGAAAACATATCCAGTACAGAAAATAAAGTTTGAAAAAATAAGCAATATTTTTAGGCTTCAGAAAATTTTTAAAAAATCTAGCTCAAAGTGTCAGAAACCTGGGAACACTTTTAGTTTAAAAACTATATTTTATTTTAACCCAAACCATTTGGCTAAATGCCTCAGTTTTCAGTTCAAAATTAGTTATGGAGCTTGTAATGTACTGTAGAAAACATTTTTAAGGTGGTAATATATTAATCTATAACACTATTCTTAAAGACCCATATAATTTGCTCAGGCAAGATCTTCAAGAATATAGAGAATTTGGGAGACTTGTTCACATTTATGCAATAAATAATCATTTGACAGTGGTAGACATTTCAAGCAAAGTAGCACTCGATCTTTGACTATTTCCTCTGCTCTTATTTCATTTATTAATTTATTAATTTGTCATTTAAAATGAACCAAATCACTGTTTGTAGAATGCTTTGCCTTAATAAGACTCAGAAAATTTTTGACATTACCAAGAAAATTAAAGGAGGATTGAAACTGAAGCATCACCAATGGTGACTAAGCTTTATCTGCAAAAATTCTTTCTGCAGTGAGGGAGACATCATAGCTAATAATATTGGGAAAATATCATAATTGACTCAGTGGACATTGGTGGTAATTAAAAATTTTACTAAACACATTTTTCCATAAAATATTCGATGTTCACATTAGTGTCAATAAGATAGACTTCTCCTTCAGTCCTCTGAGGCTTGTCTTCTCCTTTTACTTTTTTATAAGAAAATTTTCTTTTTTACATAGGTATTTTTGTACTATCTTCTACTTTTCAGTACCCTATCCATTGGGTAAATGAGACGGATTCGTGTACAGAATTTAAGTACCTCTAAATGCTTATATACAATGACATAGTCATTGTATAGAAGCAGAAAATTGGAGCAAGATCTGCCTATCAAAATGTGAGCCTTTGGGAACTCACAGACATCTCCAGAAGACCAGGACTAATATGCCATCAATACTGTCTGCTATGGCCCTGCTGGCAGTTTGTGAGGAGTGGCCATAATAATACCACACTCCATTCTGATTTTTCAGTACTTATGTCATACCACTTGTTAAGTACAAATGATCCTTGACTTACGATAGGGCCACTCATTAAACCCATCATAAGTTGAAAATATTGTAAGTAGAAAATGCATTTAATAATCCCAATTCATATCTTTATATCTTCAGTTATGTCTGGGTGTTTTTAGATCCCCACGACTAACTTTTAAGAACTTTTCCTACCTCTATTATTGTCAGCTGTATATTTGGTTTAGTCATACTGGAGGGGCAAGAAACATTTGTAGAACAGCCAGTTTCTATTGTCAATCGTCCTACCAAAATCCTTGAAGAGATGAATGTCCCTGAATTACTAAAAACAACTGGTTGTTGGTAGCAGCAATGAGAATGCTAGCCTGGCAGTGGTGAAGAAGAGGCCTCAGATATGTGAGACTGAGAATTCCTCAATTTACTTCCCACTGTTCAGCAGAGAGCACCCTTCTGTGCTAAAAGGAGTGTCTAAAACTAGAGTTAACTATGTTTCTCTTCACTCAGCTACTGGTTTGTGAGTTCCTTGAGGTTAGGCACTGTTTCTCATTTGCACAATTATTCAATTGATAGCTACAGAAAATAGAATGATTTTTATCTCAGGTCTGTCTGCAAATATTGTGTTCTTATAATCTCAAACAGTTCTGTAGAATTAAAATATTTTGTTTCATATAGAGCTATTAAAAATTTTGTTAATTTTACTTTAAGTTTGGGATACATGTGCAGAATCAGGAAACAATAGAGGCTGGTGAGGCTGTAGAGGAATAGGAACGCCTTTACACTGTTGGTGTGAGTGTAAATTAGTTCAACCATGTGGAAGACAGTGTGGCGATTCCTCAAGGATATAGAGCTGTTTTTATGTGCTGAGACCTTTTAGTATCCCTTTCAAAATTTACCTCCTCCCTCAAGGATAACTTCAAGACTGTTTATATGATAGTGAAATATTTTTTCTTCTTCTTCTTCTCAGTTTTGAACTAGATGTTTGTTCTCTGATGATATTTGCTGGTTCCTAAAGCCTAAAGAAAATCACAGGGAATAAAATACAGCTCTCTACCTTTGAAGTCTATCCAATAGCATGGAAGATCTATCACTTCTTTCACCTAAAGTTCCTTTAATTTACTTTCTTGACTGCTAAGGGATGACAATTAAAGCACCCAAGCTCTAAAATGGAACCCAAAGGTATAATAAAAAACCAAAGAAGCATTCCAAGAAATACTTTTTAAGATTTCACTATGGTTACAAATGTTAAGATTAAGTTTGTATTTTTTTAAATGCACAATAAAAACAGATTTTTTTTGATAATTCAGGCCAAAATACTTTAACTTGCTATATATTTTAAGTTTTCATAACTCTTGATTATAGTTGTAATTCTTTATCATAAAATTTGGATACAGGAAGTTTCAACTTGTTTCAATATATAAATTCCAATTCTATTATAAAGACACAGCATTCCTAGTATTCTCAAGTTTGCAGTATTTTAACTGAATAGTAATGAAAACAATATGATCATAATGTATGTTTTTTTAAGTAGAGATTATATGATATGTAATACAAGAGAAGAAGTGAGCCAAATGATAATGTAGAAATAGCCAACCCCATAAATTCTATTTTTCCTCTCTCTCAGAACAAGCAATTTTGCCTATGGATCAAAATAATATTTCCAGAATGTTATTGATAGCAATCTGTTACCATCTTCATAATCGTCAGAGTATTCGAATTAAGTAAAATATTGTTTGTCTTTGAAACATTAAAATTTTGTCAGAATATTAAAATATGGAGACATTAACATCTTGCATCGAATTATAAAATGTGTACTCTCTGGTAGCTTCACTATCATTGTAATCTACTTTTATGCTTTTTGTACCTTGGATTCCAAAGCTTTTATATAAGACATCTTTACTCTAAGTGGTTATTGCAAAGGATAAATAAAACAATGGATGTGAAATTCTGGCTAAGATCTAGTCTTCATAAATAGTGTTACATTTGATTAATTACCATCTGTTCAGTTAGTGAAATGCAGATTTTATTCAAACATAAGTGAATATTAAGATTCGTATTAAGTAATGTATACCTGCTTGTATATCTTTTCCCTGCCATTACAGTGGGTTACTTTGGGGATGCCAGAGATATTCCGGCACGTACACCAATATTTCTGAAGTCCCTGAACACTTTTATCTGAAACTGAAGGCTTCCTAATACATTATTACACATTATTATAATTTACCATCCTGACACCTCTAAATAAGGTCTAGCGTATCACTCCAGACCTAGACAATATGGCCAACATAGCATACATACTTGTAGAAAACTCTATCATAACTTACAAAATAAATAAAGTTGTGAAGACAGATTATTTAAGATCATTTAACAACTTTTTTACTAAAACACTCTTTGCTTAATAACAAGCAGAAGTGGAGTAATAATAAGTATCCTTCAAGCACTGTCTAATGTGAGGCTTTGGTACTATCAACCAAAGTTTTAATTTTGTTAGATATATATAACTTATTCCACATTTTTTATACTAACCAAATCAAAATATTTTTCTGAGCTAAAAAAATTGGATATTTAACTTTGAAAAGAATATATGGTACAAAACATGAAGGATGATACAGAGGAAATAGTATTCTAATACATTACATTCAGTGTATGAGCATATTTACAACAATATTGGGGCTTTTTGGCCTTTAAAAAACCAATAAACTTTTTGAGTTCTTTGTTGTTGTTTATGAATCAATTATGAACAGAGCAAGTTTGTTATATAATGTTTCATTTTGATTTGAATAAAAGAACATGCAATAGATGTTCTAGTTGTTAAGAAAGAGTGAGCATACTCTACTCTATCCTTTCTACTGATTACCATTAAAAGTCCTGGACAAAACAATACATAAAGCAACTATCACAAGACATTGAAAAGTAAATTAGCACAGAACAACTGGTAGGCAATTAAAAACACTACGTATGAAAGTGAGGACTTCTGTAAATCTGTTAATCAATAAAAATAATCAAAATGACGACAACATTTTTCAAAATTTACTTCTTCAAAACTCTGGAGATTAACCAAAGAGTTAAGAAAACAGAGGAACATTTACTCAAGAAAGACTGCTGAACCTCAGTGCAAACAGGATAATTTATAGCTTTTTAACTTGGCCTATTCCCATCTTTCACTCCCTGGCTTCACAGTAATCTTGAAAAAACAGTAGGCTCATCACCATGGTAGCTGTGAAAATCAGCAGCTTTGCCACCACTGGAGGAAGAATGAGATTCGAGCTCCTCAAAAATTTGTATCCTTAAAGCCTTGTAACTATGTGATCTGTCTTACAGATCTCTGTAAAAATCCCACTTACAGGGCTTCATCACTATTTGATCTTACTTGCAGGAAAGCTCTATTCCAAGATCGCAAGGACATTTGTCAAAAATAATCGGTAGCAATTGTTTAACAAGGCATTTCCCTTAAGTTTCAATACCAGGTGGGGCAATCAAGAGCCTGGCCAAAAATGTGAAAAGAAGATTTTGGGAATGAGATGCTCATAAATAACATTGAAAGCTCTGACATATACCTGGAAAACTGGAAAATCACATGCATAGGCAGGGTTGTGTGCATGGTCAGAAAATGCCTAAAGGTCTCCAATCTTTCACTCCTGGGTAACCTTAAGGCTCTGTATAAGCAAAGAGTTAAAGCTAAAGTAGAGTTTTAAACTCCTTGAGCACTGAGGCTTATACTCCAACACACACACACACACACACACACACACACACACTACACACACATACGCACACATTCTTAGTCAAGAGCAGCAGACTTATAGTTTCCAGGCATTTAAGAAAATATTGGTACAATCAATAACTGACTACTTGCCAAACCATGTAGAGACTTCAGTGGATGCACTCTAAGGAGGAATAAACATTAGAGGATTAGTTCAGGAAACTCACTAAATAAAAAACAGTGGAAGCAAAAACAATAGTAAAAACAATTAAAAGGCAGCAACAATAAACCTAAGGGAGAGTAGGAGAATCTGATTTCCTGGGTTACAGCATTGTATTTTCTAAAATCTTACTTTCCAAAAAAATTATGACACATGGAAAATATGAAACACACAAAGAAAAAAAACAATATGGAGAAATTGTGCCTCAGGAGAACAAAAAATTTCTACATTTAAAGAACAACAACAACAACAACAGAAAACATGTTCAAAGAATTAAAATATGAAAACTGTGTATCACCAAATATAGAATATCAATAAAAATAGTAATTACAACAAAGAATTAAATATAAATTCTGAGGCTGAAAAGTAAAGTAACTAAAATAAAAAGAATGTATTAGGAGAACACAACAGTAGATTTGAGATGGCAGGAGAATCAGTGAAATTAAAAATATGCCAACTGAGATTATCCATTCTGATTAAAACTAATAAAAAAAAATGAATGGAAAAAAATGAGCAGAGCCTCAGACATGTATGGCACACATCCAATACACCAACATAAATCTGATGAAAATCTCCAAAGGACAGGAGAAAGAGAAAGAAGTAGAAAGAATATTTGAAGAAATTATAATCAAAAGTTTCAAAATGTGCTGGCAAATATTATTCTACACATCTAGAAAATTCAACAAATTTCAATTAGGATAAACTCAAAGACAGTCACACCAACACATCATAGCCAAATTGTCAAAAGATTGAGAGGAGTAATATTGTCAATATTGAGAGTGGCAAGAGAAAAACAGTTCAACACGTGTAGGAAAACCTCAATAAGATTAATATCTAACTTCTTGTCAGAAATCACTGAGACCAAAAGGCAAGAAGACAATGTATTTGAAGTGCTGGAAGAAAAGTTCTGCCAACCAAAAATTTTATATCCAGGAAAACTATCCTTCAAAGGTGAAAACTAGGTAAAGCTATTCCAGAATAAATGAAAACTGAGATACTTCATAGTTATCAGACCTGCAATACAACGAAAAAAAAAGAAATAAAACAAACAAACAAAAAATTTAAGGGAGTCCTTTAGGCAAAGAGGAAAGAATGCTAGAAGGCAACTTAAATGCATAACAAGAACTAAAGAACATTTGTCAAGTTAAATACACAGGCAATATAAAATATAGTAAAAATGTATTTTTCTTTACTTTTGTCTCCTTCTATCTGATTTAAAGGACAATGGCATAAAGCAATTATTATGAATCTGTGTTGACTGGCAGAGTATAAACATGTCATTTGAATGACAATAATAGCACAAAGAAGGGATAGGGAATGGAACGATACATGAGCAAAATTTCTGTATAAAATTAAGTTAGTATTACATTAAGATTTTAATTGTAATCACAAGGACAACCACTAAAAAATGTTTGAAAATATTAAAAGAAATAACAATGGAATTAAAGAGGTATACTAGAAAGTATCTATTTAACACAAAGGAAGGCTATAATTAAGTAATAGAAGAAAAGAAAAGACACAAGACATATAGAAAACAGTAAAAACCAGCAAAAGCTTGATTCAACTAGATGCTACCTACAAGATACACACCTTAGGTTCACAGACAAGTAAGTTAACAGTAAAATGAAAAAATATTCAAAATGCAAATATTTATCAAAAATCTGGAATGACTATATTAATGCCAATAAAATAACCATTATGATAAAAAGTTATAATTGAAACAGAGAAGGATGCTTTATATGATAAAATGATCAATTCCTTAAGAGGATGTAATAATTATAAAACTATGTGCAACTAATACATAAATACCGTAAGCAAAATACCAAATACAAAGCAACAATGGACAAAATTGAATACCAAAAATATACAATTCCATATTAATACATGTAGAATTCAACATCTCACCATCAGTAATGAATTGAACTAGTTAGAAAATGATTAATGGAAGACTTTAATAAAACTATAAACCAACTAGAGCTAACAGATATCTATATAACCTGGAGAAAATTATGCTAAGTGAAATAAGCCAGACACAGAAGGACAAATTCTACAGGAGACCATTTACATGATGAATCTGAAATAGTCAAAGAAGCAAAGAGTGGAATGGTAGATGTCAGGGACAGGGGAAGGGAGAAACATGGAGATATTCGTCAAAGGGTACAAAGTTTTGGTTATACAAGATGAATAAGTCCTAGAGATCTGCTATACTGAATAGTGCCTATAGTTAAAAATACTGTATTGTATACATAAAATTGGGTGAGAAGATAGATGTTAAGTATAATAGATGTTAAGCAAATAATAATAAATAAATAGGGAAGAAGAAAACTTTCGGAGGTAATGAATTGGTTTATAGCATAGATTGTATTTCATGCATAGAATTGTTCTATAGCATAGATTGGTTTCACAGGTGCATACTCATCTCCAAATTCATTTACTTGTATATATTAAATTTGTGCAGCTTTTTGTATGTCAATCATAACTCAATGAAGAGTTTTCTTTTTAAAGGAAGCCCCTCTTTGTCCCATTTTTCTTTCTTTTCCCTCAAAATAGACAGTAATCATTTCCCCACATTTCTTTATACTTTATTAAGTAACTATATATCTGTAAACATTATTATTTCTATCTCAATAGAGACAGAAAAAGCATTTGATAAAATCCAGCAAACTTTATGATTAAAACCCTCAGCAAAATGGGCATAAAAGGGACATGCTTTAAGATAATAAAAGCAATCTATGACAAACCCACAGCAGATATTATACTGAATGGGGACAAGTTGAAAGCTTTCCCCCTGAGAACTGGAACAAGACAAGGATGCCCACTTTCCCCACTTCTATTCAACATAGTACTGGAAATCCTAGCCAGAGGAGTAAGACAAGAGAAACAAATAAAGGGCATCCAAATCAGTAAAGAGGAAGGCAAACTGCTGCCTTTGCTGAGGACATGTTCATATACCTAGAAAACCCTAAAGACACATCCAAAACATTGTAAATGAATTCATTTACCAGTAATTACTGGTAAGTGAATTCATCAAAGTTTCAGGATACATAATTAATGTATAGAAATTGGTAGTCCTGCTATCCACCAACAGCAACCAAGCTGAGAATCAACTCAAGAACTCAACCCCTTTTATGATAGCTGCAAAAAATGTATACTTAGGAAGAATATACCTAACTGAAGAGGTGAAAGAATTCTGCAAGGTAAACTACAAAACACTGCTGAAAGAAATTATAGACAACACAAACAAATGGAAACACATCACGTGCTTATGGATAAGTAGAATCAATATTGTGAAAATGACCATACTGCCAAAAGCATGTTACAAATTCAATGTAATTCCTGTCAAAACACCACCATCATTCTTCACAAAATGAGAAAAAACATCCTAAAATTCATATGGAACCAAAAAAAAGAGCCTGCATAGCTAAAGCAAGACTAAACAAAAAGAACAAATATGGAGGTATTACACTACTCTACTTCAAACAATACTATAAGGCTATAGTCACCAAAACAGCATGGTACTGGTATAAAAATAGGCATATAGACCAATGGAACAGAATAGAGAACCCTGAAGTGAGGCCAAATACTTATAGTTAACTAATCCTCGACAAAGCAAACAAAAACATAAGGTGGGGAAAGGACACCCTATTCAACAAATGGTGCAAGACACAAGTAGAAGAATGAAACTGGATCCTTATCTCTCATCTTATAAAAACATCAACTCGAGATGGATCAAAGAGTTAAATCTAAGACCTTCATGAAGCCATGAAAATTCTAGAAGATAACGTTGGAAAAACCTTTCTAGACATTGGATTAGGGAAAGACTTCATGACCAAGAACCCAAAAGCAAATGCAACCAAACAAAGATAAAGAGATGGGACCATTAAACTAAAAAGCTTCTGCACAGCAAAAATAATAATAATAATCAGCAGAGTAAACAGAAAACCTACAGAGTGGGGAAAAAAATCTTTGCAATCTATACATCTGATAACGACTAATGTCCAGAATCTTAAAGGAACTCAAAAAAAAAAAAAAACAGCAAGAACAATGCAAACAGTTCAATCAAAAAGTGGGTAAATTACATGAATAGAAAATTCTCAAAAGATGATACACAAATGGCCAAGAAACATGAAAAAATGGTCAACATCACTAATGATCAGGGAAATGCAAATCAAAACCACAATGCAATACCATCTCAGTCTTGCAAGAATGGCCATAACCAAAAAGTCAAAAAATAATAGATTTTGGCAGGGATGGAGGGAAAAGGGAACATTTTTATACTACTGGTGGGAATGAAACTAGTACAACCACTATGGAAAACAACGTGGAGATTCCTTAAAGAACTAAAAGTAGATCTACCATTTGATCCAGCAATCCCACTCCTTGGTATCTACCCAGAGGAAAATAAGTCATTATACGAAAAAGATACTTGCACACACATGTTTATAGCACAATTTGCAACTGTGAAAATATGGAACTAGTGCAAATACCCATTGATCGACGAGTGGATAAAGAAAATGTGATATATATATAATGGAATATTACTCAGCCTTAAAAAGGAACAAAATAATTGCATTTGCAGCGACCTGGATGAAATTGGAGATTGTTATTCTAAGTGAAGTAACTCAGAAATGGAACACCAAACATCTTATGTTGTCACTCTTAAGTGGGAGTTAAATTGAGGATGCAAAGGCCTAAGAATGATACAATTTACTCTGAGGACGCAGGGGAAAGGGTGGGAGTGGGGTGAGGGATGAAAGACTACACATTTGGTACAGTGTACACTGTTCTGGTGATAGGTGAACCAGAACCTCAGAAATCACCATTAAAGAACTTATTCATCTAACCAAATACTATGTATTCCTCAAAAACCTATTGAAATAATTTTTAAAAAGAAAGTAGCAAATGCTTTTGACAAATTGATAAAGCTCATATAAAACAAAGGGTGGGAAACAAATCCCAAAAATTTTCAAGGATTTGTCACCTTGATAAAATACTTAGGGGTTCAATTATTTGGGGCAAGTTGAGATATCCTGGGTGAAGGATTATGGGATTATGTCCTTCCTACCATAAACAAAGAAGCACAATATCAACTAGTCCTCTTCGGATTTTGAAACAACACATACCTAATTCGGGCATTCACTCCAATCCATTTACCAAGTAAGTCCAAAACCACCAGTTCTGAATGGGGGGTCCTGGACAAGAGAAAGATATGAAATAAGTCTAGGCTTCAGTGGAAATTGACCTGCCAGTGGACCATAAGAACCAACAGATCCAATTATATTTGAAGCATGTCTGGTAGATAGTGAAGTATGGAATCATTGAAAAGTGAATGATAGCAAGGAATCTGAAGATTTTGAAAAACGCTTCACCATCCTCTGTAAATAAATAACAATTCTTATTTTGAGAAATAGCATCTGGCTTGCTATTGGGCTTTAGTAGAGACTTAGCCCTTGATTGTGAACCACCAAGTCATGTGATGTGAATTGCTCATGAAATCTGTGTAGTATCTGATTTATTGAACTACTTCCACGATGGAAAGAACTGCACATTGTTCTCACTAGTGTAGATATTTATTCTGCATATAGAATTGCCTTTCCTGCCCGCGATGCCAAAACCAACATCCACTGATTTACAGAATGCTTTATACAACATCATATTATCCCTCACAGCATTGTTTCTGATCAAGGAACTTATTATCCAGCAAAGAAGGTGAGGCCTATGAAAAACTAATAATTACAAATATCTCTGTATTTAGTCCAAGAAATATGCAATTATTATAAAACTTTAAAATATAATTTGAAGTGAATCTACCTGAAGAATCTCAAATCTGCTTTCACATTTTAACATACAAGAATACCTTTTTTTTTTTTTTTTGAGACTGAGTCTCACTCTGTCTCCAGGCTGGAGTGCAGTGGTGCAATCTCAGCTCACTTCAACCTCCACCTCCTGGGTTCAAGCGATTCTCCTGCCTCAGCCTCCAGAGTAGCTGGGACTACAGGTGCGCTCCACCACACCCAGCTAATTTTTTTTATTTTTAGTAGATACAGGGTTTCACCATGTTGGCCAGGATGGTCTCGATCTCCTGACCTCGTGATTCACCTGCCTCGGCCTCCCAAAGTGCTGTAATCCCAAAGTACCAGGATTACAGGCGTAAGCCACTGCGCCCAGCCAAGAGTACTTTTATTGAGCAGTGACTGTGTTCCTGACTTCTACTAGGATATAGAAATAAAGAAAAGACATATTCCCTGTCCTATAGAAAATAAATTTTAAATGCATAAAAATTTCAGGAAATAATAAAAATTATACCCGAAGTCCTATAAACAATGGGCTTCATGAAATATTTTACCATGTGTAGTGTTCCATTATGTGAAGTATGCCTTAAAGGCCAAACACTATTTTAAGCATTTTAATATATATTAGATAGAAGAAAACCCCTTTTTCAGAAACAGACAAACGTAAAAGCTTCAGGCCATCAAATGAAGCCAAACAACTTCATCTCCAGATCTAATTTTCTTATACAATTTATTAATACTTACATACAACCAACTACTTACTGGGCCCTAACTTAAGCTCCTTATAAATATTTATGAGGATTTGATCCAATATAAGTTAATTCTTAAATTACAGCATATTTTCCTGATGACTCATCCTATTGAATAATGTAGTTATGATGGCATTGTAGGAGTCTGAAAGAAATGTGTTCCAAAGTGGGCTTCGGAAGGGTTCTGGGTGCATCACAAAATCAGTCATTTTGGAAGTGTACCCCAATCTGTGCCCTATTGCCTTCACTCACACGACTCATTCCCTCTCGATTTCTCCAAACCACAAGGCAGAGACAGAGTGTTCCTCCATCCTTAAAATTGACACCAAAGATTTATAAAAGACAATTTTGCATATCAACCTCTACACTACTGATTCCCAAAAGCATGATTCAACACAAGAGGGACACACATAATTGGAAAAGTCATATTCAATATACTTATTTTACTTGAAATAATGATTAATAAGCCCATCTTGGATGTTAAGAAAACACAGGAGATAGAGAAAGAAATTGGTGCAAGAACAAAATATGTTAGGAATTATGGCTATATTAAAAGTGGCCTAGTTTTTCTATGAGGTTACCTGTTGGGGTCCCACATGTGTGTGTCCAGGTGCATGATTAGTTCTGGGGCACCCTATATACTCTCCCCCAGGGCTTTTTGTTTGAAAGTTTTTGCTAAGGCTTTCTTTTTTTCTGCTTATAGTCCAAATCTCTCCTTAGGAATAAAAAACTCAAAAGACTACACGAATATGCGAAAAGATGTATTGCATATTTCTTTTCTGAAGACAGGGTCTCACTCTATTGCGCAGACTGAAGTGCAGTGAGATAATCATAGTTCATTGCAATCTTGAATTTCTTAGCTCAAGTCATCCTCCACTTCAGCCTTCCAAGGTGCTGGGATTACAGGCATGAGATACTGTGCCTAGCTGACTTGTGTATTCTTTTACCCTAAATTTTCTTACCACAGTTTTTTTTTAAAAAGCAGAACATTCATTGACTTTATAAAGAAGTTAGAATTATTATAAAGGCGTAGTGAATCAATCTTGAATGAGTTAGTGTAGTTGAGGGAACTATGAATCAGACTTGAATAAACTCCCTTCTCTGCATGTCATCTGTTCTATAGCCAGCACCAAACTTAAAGAATAAATATAAAGAAAACACAATTGCAATATTCAAAAAAATCTCTAGAACTCAAAACTGAAAATTAAGTGAAGAGGATCTTGAAAGCTTGCTTCTTTCCTCTGTATCTTTAAGAGTTAATAGAAACCATATGGCCCATGTAGTTCTCTGCCCCAAGGCAATTTCTCCCTTTTCTTCAGTGGGCATTCATATCTAGTACCTCCAGGTGTCAATACAATTATGAATTTTAGAAAATGTATTAAGATTCTATGTTCAGAATAGCACTGACTTTTCAAAGAGCCCAGTAACAATATTATTGTTCATCTCTGCATTTTTCTGAACCTGTAAGGTTTTCTTAAAGGAGGACTCTCACTCTGTCTCCCAGGCTGAAATACAGTGGCCTGGGGGGACGGAGATATACATAATATTTCAGTTTTGTAATTTTTATTTCTATGGTGTGGGTGGCTATAGTATTGTTACATTACTTTCTACATTTTATATAATAAAATATTAAATTAAGAAATAGAAAATAAGACCATGATTAAATAAATCAAACGGCCAGTAATTGGCTAATATATACTAGGATGTATAATACAATTTCTGGATCTTAGCTAATGGTGGAGATGAACAAATGAAAGATTCCATGTATGATCATTGACTATTAGGATCTCAAGGCCCAGCTAAATGACATAGGCATGCTTCAGAGATACTGTGGGTTTGGTTCCAGACCACTAGAATAAAGCAAATATCACAATAAAGGAAGTCACACAAGTTTTTTTGTTGTTGTTTCCCAGTGCATATAAAGTTATGTTTATGCTATACTGTAGTCTAGTAAGTGTGCAATAGCATTACATCTAATAAAGAAAAAATGATGTGCAAACAATTAAAAATACCTTATTGCCAAAAATGCTAACAATCATCGAAGCCTGCATTAAATCCCAACCTTTTTGCTGGTGGAGGGTCTTCCCTCAGTGTTTACAAATGCTGATTGGTCAGGATCGTAGTTGTTAAAGTTTTGGGTGACTGTAGCAATTTCTTAAGACAATAATGAAGTTTGCTGCATTAATTGACTTGCTTTTACAGAAAATTTTTCTGTATAATGAAATGCTGTTTGATAGCATTTTACCTACAGAACTTATTTTTAAATTGCAGTCAATCATCTCAAGTTCTGCTGCAGCCTTATCAAGTTAAGTTTATGGAAGATTCTAAATCCTTTGTTGTCATTTCAACAATGTTCACGACGTCTTCACCAGGAGTAGATTTCAACTCAGGAAACCACTTTCTTTGCTTATCTAGAAGTGACTCCTTATTATTTCAAGTTTTATTGTAAGATTGCTCTGATTCAGTCACACCTTAAGGTCAGCTTCTGAATCGGGTTCTCTTGCTATTTCCATCATATCTCCAATTACTTCCTCCAATGATGTCTTAAACCCCTCAAAGTCATCTATGAAGGTTGGAATCAACCTCTTCCAAAATGCTGCTATTGTTGATAATTTGACGTCCTTCCATGAATCATGAATGTTCTTAATGGCATCTAAAATGGTAAATCCTTCCCAGATGGTTTTCAATTTACTCTGTCCAGATCCGTCAGAGAAATCACTATCTATGGCAGCTGTAGACTTACAAAATTTATTTCTTAATTAGTAAGACTTGAAATAAATCCTTGATCCATGGGCTGCAGAATGGATGTTGTGTTACAAGGCATAAAAGCAACATTAATCTCCCTGCATATCTCCATCAGAGTTTTGAGGGGCATTATCACTGAACACTAGTATTTTGAGAAAAATCCTTTTTTTTTCCTGAGCAGCAGGTCTCAATGGTGGGCTTAAATTATTCAGTAAACCGTGCCATAAACATATGTGCTGTCATCCAGGCTTTGTTCATTTATTTATGGAGAACAGACAGAGTAGATTTAGGATAATGCATAAGTGCCCTGGGATTTTTGAAAGGATAAATGAACATTGACTTCAGCTTAAGATAACCAGCTACATTGACCCCTAAAAAAGAGCCAGCCTGTCCTTTGAAGCTTTGAAGCCAGGCATTGACTCCTCTTCTCTAGCCATAGTAGTCCTAGATGACATCTTACTGCAATATAAGGCAATTTCATCTACATGGGAAATATGCTTGTTTTTTGTTTTTGTTTTTCAGTGTAGCCACCTTTAACAATTATCTTAGGTAGATCCTCTGAATAACTTACTGCAGCTTCTCTCTCAGTACTTGCTGCTTTACTTCACAATCTTATGTTAAGGAGATGGTTCTTTCCTTAAACCTCATGAAGCAATCCCTGCTACCTTCCAGCTTTCCTTCTGCAGCTTCCTCACTGCTGACAGTCTTCACAGAATTAAGAATTAGGGCCTTACTGATTAGGCTTTTGCTTAAGGGAATGTTGTGGCAGGTTTATTCTTCTATCCAGACCACTCAACTTTTTCCATATTGGCAATAGAGCTGTTTTGCTTTCTTATCATCTGTGTATTCACTTAGCTAACTGTTTGGTACAAGAGGCCTAGACTTCAGCCTATTTCAGCTTCAACATGCCTTCCTCAGTAAGCTTAATCATTTCTAACTTTTGATTTAAAGTGAGATACATGCTACTCTTCCTTTAACCCGTACACTTAGAGGCTACTATGGGGTTCTTAATTGACCTAGTTACAATATTCTGTGTCTCAGGGAATAGGGATGCCGGAGGAGAGGCAGAGTAATGGGGGAATGGCTGGTACTTGGGGTAGGCAGAGCACACACAACAGTTAGCAGTTGAGTTTGCTCTCTTATATGGGCATGATTCGTGTTGCCCAAAACAATCACAATAGCAACATCAAAGTTCACTGATCATAGATCAGTATAATAGATATAAAGTAAATGAAAAATTGGAACTACTATGAGAATTACCAAAATGTGACACAGAGACACAAAGCACATAGTGTTGGAAAATGGTGCCCCATAAACTTACTGAATGCAGAGTTGACACAAACTCTCAATTTGTAAAAAAATACAATATATGCAAAACGCAACAGAGCAAAGTGCATCAAAATGAGTCTTATTACTTTATTTCTATCTTGTTAAAATTGCTGGAAATAAATTATGCCCTGCCCCATTATCCTGCTTGTTTAATTACCCATTAATTTGTTAGTCTTGGCTTCATACATAAAAAAGTTTGAGGCACCAGTGGCTGATACAATATATACTTTTTGATCATGAAAAATAAGTTCACTAACTTCTCAAAGTCACAAAATTTCAAGATCCTTACAGCATTAAGCTCTAAATTTTCAAGTGTGAAGTCTTCTTTCTTCTTCAGGGTCCAAGATGATGGACATAGCACAAATGACTATATCCATGTTTTGGTCCAGAGAAGAAAGGAAAAAACAGTTAAAAGACATTTTCCAGAGTGTGTAAACATCATTTCCATTTATGTCTCTGGGTGGACCTTTGTCACTTGACCACACAGACTTTCAAGGGAGGCTAGAAAGAGTTATAGTTATTAAACTGGGCATACAGCCACCACATATTTGAGATTCAGATTTTAAGGGTGAAGTGAGAGTGGGATAGATAGCTGCAGCCCTTGCCACACCCACCAAACAGGATTCCTCACATCCATGTCTTCTGTTTATCTATTTCTGCATAACAAACCACCCTAAAACTACGGATTAAAGCAATTATCCTTTATAATCCAGATATGTGGTTCAAAAACTCGAGTAGGACTCAGCTGACTGATTCTTCTGCTCTAAGTGACTGTGGTCACTGGGTGATATTCAGCTGGCAGCTGGGCTAATCTGCACAGTCCAGAAAAGGCTGTATTTCCATGTCTGACATGTTCATGAGCATGATTTAAAGGTTGTGCTGAGTTGGTCCATTCTTCCTCTCTATGTATTCTCATGGTTTCTGTACATTATCTCCTCAGTGGTTAGTTACTTTCTTATATGTTTGCTTAAACTTCAAGAGAGAGTATTCTATGAGAAAG
Organism: Homo sapiens; assembly: GCF_000001405.40. NCBI lineage: Eukaryota > Metazoa > Chordata > Mammalia > Primates > Hominidae > Homo > Homo sapiens. Next base: position 156,413,916 of record NC_000004.12, read on the forward strand.
GAAATGAAAGCCACCAGGATCTGAAATTGGCCTGGCATCTCTTCAGATGCAACAGAGAGGATATAGATAAAAGAAGCATCAAAAGAATGAGTGGCCATCTTAAATCTGCCACTCCAGATAAACATTTCAGGATTATTTTACTTACTCTTATAAAATCTGAATCTCTCGGGAAACAAACAAAATTAGGCTTAAGAAATAGCCCAAAGAGTTTTCCTACACTTATAAAGAACTTTATAAGTACTTACTTGTAAAGAACTAAGTTATGGTCATAACTTCACTGTAGGATTTTTTATCATTTACATTTTTCTGTTTTGGCAATAATTAATAACTGTTATAACTATTTATAATGTTTTCCTCAGTAATAGCTTGGTATCTTCAGTTTAAGTTAGTCTTCTTGAAAAATCCTAGTGGTACAGCTTTCATAATTCAGTTCAAATATCATGCAACTGGATATTTGGGGTATGTGTGTGTGTTCACGTGGGTGTGTTTTCTATTTTAGAAAGAGATTAAAGGAACAGGTAAGTGTTATCATGTTGGTTTCTTATTTATTTAAAAATGGATATTTTCTTTTCTCTGGGATGAAAATAAAATTTTAAACATCAAATGTGGTGTTAGATGCAGAAAAAAAAAACCTTAAAGTAAACATAGAAAGTTCACCAAGTGTCATCTGAGACCATTATAACTCCACAGACACTTCATAATCTTCTTTAGTTAAACATACACCAAAAGAGCTCATTCTTTGCTGGCTGCACATCTATTTACTTTGTAAGTAATAAAATAAGAATGGGCCCTTTCTGAAATTTATTTGGAGAGTCTGAATTTATTTTTAAACCTTCTAATTCTGAGGATCATGTGGGCTTATAAATGTGGTCTCTTCATTATTCTAGTTTTTTAAAAGAATTTATTTTGAAATAATTTTAAACTTACAAAAAGGTTAAAAAATATTTAAAATAACTTCCACAAATTCATTATCCTGCTTCACCAAATGTTAATAGCTTTTAAACCATAGTACAATTATCAAGACTCAGGAAATTAACAGTGATAAGGTATTAACTAATCTACATACCTTATTCAAATTTTATCATTTATCTCACTGATGTCCTTTTTGTGGTCAAGATTTAGTCCAAGGTTGCACATTGTTGCTAGTTATCAGGTCTCTTTAGTATTTTCCAAACCTGTGATAGCATCATAGTCTTCTTGACCTTAACACTTTGGAAGAATATTTGCCAGTAATTCTGTGTACAGTTCCTCAATTTGGAATTGTCTGATATTTCTTCATGTTTAACTTGTACCTTTGTGTATAATCATAAGTGATGCTGTGTTCTTCTGAGTGCATCATATTAGGAGGTATATGATATTTATATGTCTCACTACTGATACATGTCAACTGAAAACTTTAGTAAAGTAATAGATGCCAGGATTCTACACTATGGAGTTACAGGGTTTTTTTTCTTTCTATAATTAAACTATTTTATGGTGAGATTCTTTGCTATTATGGAAATGTTCTATTTTTCATTATACTTTGGCAACACAATTTTGGCATTATTGATGGTTCTTTCCAGAAAAAATTATTACTGAGCTATAGTCCAAAAAATTATTTTCTATTCCCATCATTCTTTCTACATGTACTAATTGGAAATGCTACTAATAAATAAAGCATTTCTGGGTTTTATTTTCCATTTGTATTAGTCTGTTCACACACTGCTATAATGAGGTAGTTACCTGAGACTGGGTAATTTATGAAGAAAGGTTTACTTAACTCACAGTTCCATGGGCTTAACAGGAAGTATGGCTGGGTGGCCTCAGGAAACTTACAATCATGGCAGAAGGCAAAGAGGAAGCAAGCACGTCTTACCATAATGGAGCAGGAGAGAGAAAGAGTGAGGGGGAAAGTGCCACAACTTTTAAATCATCAGATTTTGTAGGAACTCACTATCATGAGAAGAGCATGGGAGAAATCCACCCCTATGACTCAATTACCTCCCACTAGATCACTCCCCCAACATTGGATATTACAGTTCAATATGAAATTTGGGTGAGGACACACAGAGAAACTATATCATTCTGCCCCTGGCCCCTCCCAAGTCTCATGTCCTTCTGACATTTCAAAACACAATCATGCCTTTACAACAGTCCCCCAAAGTCTTAACTCATTTTACCATTAAACCAAAAGTCCATGTCCAAAGTCTCATCTGAGACAAGACAAGTGCTTTCTGCCTATGAGCCTGTAAAATTAAAAACAAGTTAGTTATTCTCAAGATACAATGGAGGTACAGGCATTGGGTAAGTGCTCCCATTTCAAATGGGATAAATTGGCCAAAATGAAGGGGCTACAGGCCCCATGCAAGTCTGAAACCCAGCAGGGCAGTCATTAAATCTTAAAGCTTCAAAATAATCTCCTTTGACTCCATGTCTCACATCCAGGGCCTTCTGATGCAAGAGGTGGACTCCCAAGGCCTTGAGCAGCTCCACTTCTGTGGCTTTGCAGGGTACAGCCACCACAGCTGCTTTCATTGATTGGCGTTGAGTGCCTGCAGCTTTTCCAGGTGCACGGTGCAAGCTGTTGGTGGCTCTAGAATTCTGGGGTCTGGAGGACAGTGGTCCTCTTCTCACAACTCCACTAGGCAGTGCCCCAGTGGGAGCTCTTTGTGGGGGCTCCAACTTCACATTTCCCCTCTGAACTGCCCCAGTAGAGGTTCTCTATGAGAGCTCTGCCCCTGCAGCAGACTTCTGCTTGGACATCCAGGCATTTCCATATATCCTCTGAACTCTGGGCAAAGTTTCCAAACCATGATTCTTGTCTTCTGTGCACCTGCAGGCCCAACACCACACGCAACCCACCAAGGCTTAGGGCTGGCACCCTGTGAAGCCACGGCCCAAGCTATACCGTGGCCCCTTTTAGCCATGGCTGGAGCTGGAGCAGCTGGGATGCAGGGCACCATGTCCAGAGGCTGCAGAGAGCATTTGAGCACTGGGCCTGGCCCACAAAACCATTTTTCCCTTCTCGACTTCTGGACCTGTTATGAAAGGGGCTTCCATGAAGGTCTCTGAAATGCCCTGGAGACATTTTCTCCATTTTCTTGGCTATTAAAATTATGCTCCTTTTTACTTATGCAAATTCCTGCAGCAGTCTTGAATTTCTCTCCAGAAAATGGGTTTTTCTTTTCTACAACATAGCCAGGCTACATATTTTTTAAACTTTTGTGCTGTTTTTCTTTTAAATATAAGTTCCAGTTTCAAATAATTTCTTTATTCATGCATATGAGTGTACAATTTTTAAAATAGCTAGGTTACTTCTTGAATGCTTTGCTACTTAGAAATTTTTTCAGCCAGATACCCTAAATAATCTCTCTCAAGTTCAAAGTCCACAAATCTCCAGGGCAGGGACAAAATGCCATCAATTTCTTTTCTAAAGCACGGCAAGAGTGATCTTTTCTCCAGTTCCCAATAAATTCCTCTTCTCCATCTGAGACCACGTCAGCCTGGACTTCAGTGTCCATATCACTATCAGCATTTTGGTCAAAACCATTCAACAAGTCTCTAGGAAGTTCCAAACTTTCCCACATCTCCCATTCTTCTTCTGAGCCTTCCAAACTGTCCCAACCTCTGTCTGTTCTCCAGTTCCAAAGTTGCTTTCATATTTTCAGGTATCTTTATGGCAATGACCCCACTCTCCTGGTAACAATTTTCTGTATTATTTCATTTGCACAGTGCTATAATGAACTACTTGAGACTGGGTGATTTATGAAGAAAAGAGTTTTGATTGACTCACAGTTCCACAGGCTTAAAAGGATACATGTCTGGGGTCCACAGAAAACTTACAGCTGATAGAGGCAGAAGGCCAACAAAGGACTAGGCAGATAGGAAAGATTCCCTGGAGAATCTCTGACACCCCATAAATGTTTATGTCAGATATTTTGTGCAGATAAGGGAACCTATATACGGGGCATGGCTGGACTTGCACAGGAGACCCACGTGCATTGGGGTAATGGGGTGGAGCCACCAGGAATTCATGACTTATGCAGGGGAGAAGCCTAGTCTCTTCAACTTGTGTGTGGTGCCCCTGGTATTCAATTTGTGAGGTGGAAAACTGCTTGCAGAACCCCCTCTCTTTGCTGAGACCTTTCCTTTCACTTAAATAAATTCCATCCTCCTCACCCTTCAGTGTGCCTGTGTGCCTAGTTCTTCCTGGTCATGAGACAAGAACCCAGATTAACTGAGATAAGGAAACAAAATTCTGCATCACAATCATGACAGAAGGCAAAGGGGAAGCAAGCACGTCTTACCGTGGTGGAGCAGGAGAGAGAGAGAGTGAGGGCAGAAGTGCCACAAACTTTTAAACCATTAGGTCTCATGAGAACTCACTCATGATCATGAGAGCAGCATTGGGGAAATTCACCCCTGTGATCCAGTCACCTCCCACCTGGTTCCTACCCCAACACTGGGAATTACAACTCAACATGAGATTTGAGTGGAGACAGAGAGCCAAACCATATCACCAGTCTACTGTGGCTTCGCAATAGCAATTATTAACATCACTTTTAAGTTAATCCTGAGTTTTAGATGTTGTTTGCCATTCAACTTTGGTGTAGCTATTGTTAGCATTACTATGATTTATTTGTTATTAAGGCCACTTTGTGGGAAAGTATGAAGGATATTTCTCCTTTTCCCTACCTGTCTTCCTCCTTCTCCTCTGAAGGTTTTTGTTTAACAATATTTTCACTTTATTTTCCCCCTTATTTCCCTCCTTCATCATTTTGAGACCTCGTCCTGAAGCTATTGATATAAAGGGCTTTGGATGTGATTTCATTTAAAGAAGTGTAAACGAATTAGCAGAAATGGAAACATAATACTTTATTTTGCTTTAATTTCCCAAGCCAGAAAATTAACACTTTAGAAATGTGAGAAAAGTCGGCTTGATATGGTAAGAACTCTCAACCATACAGTTCTCTTTGCTACCTACAGCCCCTAGAAAGAGAGATACAAACGTCAAAGAAATCAAGGGATTGGTAGGAAAGAAATTAAATAAACAAGTCTGAACAAAAAGTAACTGTTCCCTAAAGGGTTTTTAAAAGAGAATAATTTTAACTGGATCTTGAAAGAAGTGTCTGACATTTTTTGAACAAAAGAAGTAGCAGGCCTCTGGCTACAGAACTGAATGTTCTGAGGAGACTGGGCTGTGTCACTTTGGAATTCCACAAGGCAGTGCAAAGTGAGGCTGGGGTCATAAAGATGAATGGCTAGATGATTACTGAGGATCAAAGGAGAGGAACAGTTGAAGAACGATTTCAATTAAAAAATTAAAAAGACTTGTAAATTAAGTTTATTATAGTCTGATGAAGAGTTAAGGATATGTATTACGTAATAGCATTGCAAGAGTCAAGGCTCATCTTGAGGGAGAAAATGAAACATTTTTAAAAGTAATCATTCTGTGCTATCATTTTACTGTGGATTGATGACAGGAAAAAGTTATTTTGTAATCTTTCTGACAAAGTTAAATAGCCAAATAAACTGAGTCAACACTAACCCTTGGCCCAATCCTTAACTTTTACATACCCCTAGTCTTTCATCTGCACAGTCTAAACAGCAAAGGACTTGCACATTAACTAGCCCATGTCTGCATGTGCTTCAGGCTCACAAGATAAAGCTTCATTTCAATCCTTGATATGGTGACACATGGGATGTCACCTGTTTCTCAACTACCCTTGAGCCAGTACAGATCTTAGTGGGTCAGTTCTGTTCCATCCTGTGAAAGAAAACAGCAAGCATTAGAAGGAAGAAAAGGAAGCTTTGTATCATGCTCTTAAGCCATTGCGCATTCTAAATCAAGTTTCCAGAACACTTTGTCTTACCTCTAAATATTTCATCATGGACTAGTTTAGCAGTAATTTTCACAGTGTTCCTCTTTGAATATGTTGAGATGTCTTATCCAGAGAGTACAGTATTGTGATTAAGAGAATACTAATAAGCTCTGAGCAAACCAATTTACATCCCTAAAAAGATGCAGGTTTCTGACTTTGATCATCAAACCTAACAATAGATAACATTTGTAAAGTGCTCACTTTGTGCAGTCATGCTTTCTGAACTCTTTTATTATGTGTGTAAATGTTCTCATGATTTTTGTTTTTTTTTTTTAGCTTTATTTGTTTTTTTGTTTGTTCGTTTGTTTGTTTTTTGAGATGGAGTCTTGTTATGTTGCCCAGGCTGGTCTTGAACTCCTAGTCTCAAGAGATCCTCCCACCTCAGCCTCCTGAGTTGCTAGGACTACTGGTGTGTGCCTCCACACCCAGCCTCTTGTATTCATGTTTTAAAACCCCATGGCATAGGTGTAGTTGTTATTCAATTTTCTTGGAAGGTAAAAGTGAACTGCAAATGTTAAGCAACCTACTCTAAGTCACAGAGTTATTAAGTGAGATGCAGGATGTGGATCCAGTACCACATAGATGACCATTAACCCAGTTAGATTACTGCCAATGTCCTTTTGATATTCTTGTTTTATTTATAAAGTAGACACTTTTCTCTACCATTTATGAACCTTATTTATGAGATAAAAATGCATGCATTCAATTATGTCAGTTTCCTTAAAAACTCTCCTTTTCTACTTGTTCAAATTGGTATTCATAGTAAAGTACTTCTCTAAAATCCAGTCTAACATTGTTTTTGAATACAAAAATAAAAATACTATTTGTTATGTAGCCCAAGCAAATCTGGGAAGGGCCTGGGGCTGAGGGGAGTGAGGTGCAGGAGGGGCTGAGGATGCACCATCCACAGAGCAGCTTAGTGGTGGAATGAGACTCGATACTAGCAGGAGGTGTGGACAATGAGGAGGAGCTGGACTGATAAATTACTCTATTTGCAACATTGTGTTTTCTTCACTCTTCACTGATGACTCATTCTGCAGTAGTGTATTATTTTAAAACACTTTTCTTCAAATTAAATAGTTTCTATATGCTCAAAGGGGAAAAAAGGCATGTAAAATCACACACAAAATGTATTTCAATCATAATGTCATCACATAGAGCTAAACTCTGTTCATAGTTTTGCCAACAGGCAATAAAAAGGTTGCTATTCTGACTGGTGTGGAACTCAGGGGATTTTCAGGACACTTAATAATACTTGCAAATCCAGTGGTAAAAATTAATGGTAAAATATAGAAAGCCAAAAAAGCAAGACCAATACTGATGCAGCACTTGAGGATTGAAAGTTTAGGCCACCTAACAAAGTAAGAAAGTTGAGATCATTTCTCAAGCTAAGACGCTGCCTGAAGCTAAAGAGTGGGTAGTGGAAGACAGATGTTATAAATTCGGACTATAAGCTTGTGCTCAGTTGCAGAAATCAGAACTAAGGAAGATACATGCTTTCACTCTTTGCTTTTACATGTATTTATTTTTTATCTATTTACTTTTTCCCCTTTCCTTGCTATTCTTACACTCTTTAATACAAGATATGTGATTAGTATTAATCTTAATAATTCAATATTTTAAGTTCAGCATATTAAAGGGAGATTGTCACTGAAAAAGAAATAAAATATCATTATGCAAAGTTAGAAAAGCAATGCATGGGACTGTCTATAACTTGAAAAATTTAATAGACCTGTAATTAAGTCATACATTGCAGAGAATTGTGAGTGTGGTTATTGAGGCACATAGAAATGACTGGATTCACATAGATAAAAACTCAGCTAAGTTTTTGAGATGGTATCACCGTCAAAAGAATCACTTGTCTGTGAAAGCTGTCCAAGACTTAAAGTGGACTGTGGGATTCCCCCTTCCGCAGGAGACTAATAGCCTTCAGAAGGTGAAATGAAGAGCATAGAGAACTATGGATTTAGGAGCTGTTTTCAGGGAGCAGAAATGGAGCTTAATTAAAAAACATTACCCACCTTAAGGCAGGGTTGTATTATCTTACCAGTGGGATCACAGAAGTGCTGTGTACTAGGCATGGCCCTGTGCCTTCATTGTTCCCTTTTCTGAAAAGGAGTGTTAATTGTGGTTTTCTGGATTTGTTCAACCCTTGTTTTTGTTGGTGTGGCAGTAAGCAGATAATTTCTCTTTATAGTTCATGGATCTACAGATAAAAAGGATCCACTCAGAGAAAATGTTGAGATTATCACAGTATTCTGGAACTGGGACTTTTGAGTTAACACCATTGGAAAGGGAGTGAGTATGTTTTATGTGCATAGAAAGAAATGTAATTTTTTATTTAAAATCAAGAGAGCCACTGTGGTAGATCATAATATTGTCAAAGTATCTCCTCTCCTAGTGAGTCCATCCTTACAGAATGTCAGTCTTGAGCAAAGAGTTGTTTTGGGGCAAAAAAGATCAGGAATGATGTGTGCTATTTCAGAGAAGTTTTGTACAATATCAAGTGGTTCTTCAATTGCTGTTTTTGTTGTGCTGCAGAAAACTGTCCTACACAGTGGCTATTCCTTCAGCCTGGGTCCTATTGGAGAATATTGAAGTCAAGTGACAGACAGCATTGAGCCATTGTATAACAATTGTGACGAACTTATATGTATGAATGCCACTGAGACTTTGAGATTATTTGTTACTATGGCATAACCTAGCAAGGGTAACTGATACACTGAAAAATTAGTGAGGGAGAATCAATTTCTACCACTGCAGGAAATAAGGTTAGTATCAGAGGTGATACTCATCGAACTTGGAAAGCAGATATGTTATTTGTCCATTAATTCAATAAAAACTTATTGAAGACACAACTGTACTTTGGAAACTGGGCTATTGATGTCCAGGAATTCAAGTGGCCAAGATTTTCTTATTGTGGAGTGTTGGAAATTAGTAATCTAGGACCAAAAGAAAAATAGCTTTATAGAATTTACTGCAAAAATTATTGCGTAATTTTTGTTAGCATGTACCAGTGTGAACCAAGTATAAAAGTATGCAAAGTATTCAAGAATGAGAATCAAGAATTTGTCACTAAATCTGGTAGTTATTTAGAGGTGATGTCCCAGATAATGTTTATAGATCAGCACAGGATCCAGGAAAAGAGATCTTTTCTTCCAAAGAAGAGGTTTCATGGATCATATGAAAACATATTAGTTTAGCAAGTCCCAAGGAAAGAGAGCCACTAACTTTGATGATTTTAGTAAATTGTTGGTTGACTGAGAATAAGCCCAATGTAATCTTTAATTCACCTAAAACTATGTAAAATCTTAAAAAATATATTCTGAGTATCTTTTCTTTCTTTCAAGAGTTATTTAACTACCCTTATGTTCTAATGGTGCAAAATAAACTAGAGTGAAGAACTCCTTGTATCCTTGGGTATTTCCCATACCACTTCTAAAGCAAATCAATCATTAATCAGCAGCATAGACATTAAAGAAAGAGCAGAAGAATTGAAGCTGTAGTGATGCTTCTTCACGGAGCTAGAGATAGAGCATTCTACAGCAAAATATAACAGGAAGCTCTTAGTGTGTGGGCTGTAGGACAGAAAACCTGGTGATTGTGTGGCTACAAGAATTACTTGAAAAAGAAAACCAGTTATTGAGAGGAGGATACATAGACAGCAGATTTTTTTGCATTGCATTGCAACTTTGGAAATATAAAGAATAATTAAAAGTAGTCAAAATACTGCAAAATTAGTTCAAAATGTGACCCAATATTATAATATAGTCATAATATTATCATTAGTTGGTAATGTTTATTGAACTATGATTTCTGAGGGAGAATTAAGTAGATAACACTCCTTTATATAGGAATAATTCACCCCTTCCTTTGCCAACTTAAGACTAATAAAGGTTGTTCATACCTTTTCCTAGATTAGACATCCAAATTGCTCTACATCTCTGGAATTAAAATGACAACGAAGGAAAATAAAGGCTATTTGATGTAATAAAACAGAGTACATTAAAGTGGCTGTGTCCATATTCAACACCTCTGGAATGTTCTGACACGAACTTTCTGGTGGAAGAGACAATAAGGAGAGAAGGTCCAAGAGTGATATAAGACACAGAACACGTATGGAAGTAGTCATGACAAGTGTCTTTTTTGTTTTTAATTCTTTACACATTTTAATAAAAGCCCTGTATCTTTCTACCTATGACAACCTCTAAGACCCTTTCCAGTGCAAAATCTGAAAATCTCTTAGTATTAAACACTGAAATTCTTCTCAAATCTATTCTTTCCTTTTTAAATTCCAAATGCCACTGGTGCAGAATTGGCTCTGGCTTCATGGCTGGCCCATTGACGCTTAGCTCTAGATTCATGCTTTGGGACATTTTAAAAAATGTTTTAATGTGACTAATAGAAATTTAAACTCACTTATATGGACAAAATTACATATCTCTCAGAAAGCACAGTTCTCTCTTGATTGTCCTGCTTGCTTAGTGCTTTCTCTAATTTATAGATTTGTTTTTTTCCCCAGCTTTATCGAGGTATAATTGACAAATAAAAATGGCATATGTCCATAGTGTACAATGTGATGTGTATATATAAACACACACTTATATATATACACACACATATACATCATGAAATGATTACCACAAAAAAGGTCATTAATATATCCATCCCTTCACACAGTTATCTTTTTTTTTGTGATGAGAATATTTAAGATTTACTTTCTTAGTAGTTCTCAAGTATAAATACATCATTATTAACTGTAGTTACCATGCTGTACAAAAGATCTCAAGAATTTATTCATCCTGTCTAAATGAAACTTTGCACCCTTTTACCTACATCTCCCCATCCCATCCCCCTCTCCCAGTGCCACACAATGAATGTTCTACCCTTGGCTGCTTGATTTTACGACTGTTACTAGCTTTATGAATTTCTATGCTTTTATGACCTTTGTAAATATTCCACATATAAATGAGATCATACAAATTTTTTTCTGTGTCTGATTGTTTTACTTAGCATAATGTTCTTCAGGTTCATCATGTCTCAAATGGCAAGGTTTTATTTTTTTACTGAATCATATTCTATTATATATATTTATACACACATCCACTTACGTATGTATAAATATCTATATTTATAGTTTACCCTTGAAGAACATGGGTTTGAACTGCATGGGTCTACTTACACGTGACTTTTTTTCTGCCTCTGCTACCCCTGAGACTATAAAACGAATCCTTCCTCTTCCTCCTCCTCAGCCTAGTCAATGAGAAGATGATGAGGATAAAGAGTTTTAGGATGATTCACTTCCACTTCCTGGATAGTAAATATATTTTATCTTTCTTATTGTTTTCTTAACAAAATTTTCTTTTCTGTAGGTTAATTTATTGTAAGAATACAGTACATAATATATTTAAAGCATACAAAATATATGTTAATTTGCAATATATGTTATCAGTAAGGCTTCTGGTCAACAGTAGGTTATTAGTAGTTAAGGTTGTGGGGAGTCAAAAATTATATGTGGATTTTCAACTGCATGGAGGATTGAATCCCTTAACCCCTGTGTTGGTCAAGAATCAACCGTATACCACATTTTCTATATCCACTTATTCGTCTATGGACACAAGCTGCTTCCATATCTTGTCTATTGTGAATAATGTTGCAATGAATATGGGAATACAGATATCTCTTTGGCATGCAGATTTCTTTTCCTTTCAATATACACCCAGAAGTGGAATTGCTGGATCATATGTTAGTTCTGTTTTTATATTTTTGAGAAACCCCCATAGTGTTTCACATAATGGATGTACTAATTTACATTCCCGCCATCAGTTTGCAAGGGTGTCCTTTAATCCATACCCTCATGAACAAGTGTTGAGCATTTTTGAAAACCTGTTGGCCATTTGTATATCTTCTTTTAAGGAATGTTTATGTAGGTCTTTTGCCAATTTTTTAATTGGATTTTTTTTTTGTTTTTCACTATTGAGTTGTTTGAGTGCCTTATATATTTTGGGTATTAACCCCTTAACAGGTGTGTGGTTTGCAAATATTTTCTTCCCTTCCATAGGTTGTCTTGTCACTCTGTTGATTCTTTCCTTTGCTGTGCAGAAGCCTTTTAGTTCATTAGTTCCCTTGCTGTAAGAAAGGTACCATTAAGAAAGAAATTATCTCCATAATTTATTAATAATGTGTTTTTGGGTTTTTTGAAGTGTTTTCTTTTTTAACTTTTATATTCAACTAATTTTAGACTTACAGAAAAGTTGCACAAATAGTACAGAGAGTTCTCATATACTTCTCACCCAGCCTCTCCTAAGATAAGCATTTTGCATTACCATTGTCCAATTATGACACATATCTCCATATCCTCATGAACACTTGTAGTCTTTTGTCTTTTCAATAATTGCCATTCCAATGAAGAGTACTAATGATCCATTTAATTGAAGAGTACTAATGAGTTACTCTGTAGAATGTCCCTTAGTTTTGGTTTGCCTGATGCTTTCTCATGACGAAAATAAAGTTATGCATTTTTTGGCAAGACCTTCACAATTAACACTGTTACATTACTATTAACTAAAGTACAGAACTGATGTTATTAGTATTTCTCCTGTTTTTTCCCCCACCTAATGAACTTTTTATCATGCCACTGCACTTTAGCCTGGGTGACAGAGTGAGACTCCGTCTCATAAATAAATAAATAAATAGTTTGTTCAGTTTTTTTCTTTAGGAACAAACTAACTTAACCAGTTAGGAAATATAAAATGTGTCTTAGAATTACAAGTCAATTTCATTGATGTCACCAATTACAAGTCAAATGTCACTAATTTCTCTTCCCAGACAAAAATACCTAAATGAAGAGGTAGCATGGAGTAACGATTAAGAGTGACTCTGGAGTAGAAATGTCTTAGCTACAAGCTCAACTCTTCTGCTTATGGCTAGGTAATGCTGGGCACATTAATGAAATACATCAAACCTGTTTCTTCAATTGTAAACGTGGATTTAATCGTGCTAATGGTGTCAAAAAGCTGTGATAATGCGTAGCATCTGTAGGCAGACTGGGCAACTCTACACTGACCAGCTGTGTAAATTTGAGCGAGACTGTCTCAGACTCTTCATCAGCAAAATACAAATTTTGTGTTTCGTATTTGCATCCGTCTTATAGGAATGATTAAATGAGATAATGGAGGTAAATCAGCGCAGGTGTTGGCGAGGCTACATTCCTTTTAGAGGCTTCAGAGAAAAATCTATTTCCTTGTGTTTTCCATCTACTAGAGCTGCCTAAGTTCCTTGGCTCCTGGCTTCTTTCTCCTTCTTCGAAGCACATCACTCCAGCCTGTTTCTGTCATTGCATTTCTCCTTTTCTTCCTAGGTTTTTACCCACTATGTTTTTTCTCGGGCTGTGAGAATTTCATGCAGCAGATTGTTCAGATGTCCTGTTGTAGCTCAGCGCTAAGATCTTTTCCTCATTTTACCCAGGTATTTTCATTTAATACTAAGACAACAGGGAAATAAAGGTGATAGAGACTACAGAACACACAAAAATAAATAAGATACTAGAGTGTTCATTTGTTCGAAGAGTGGAGATATAAGGCTAGAAGAGGAAAAATGATCTGAACTTTAAGTTCAGAAAGGTCTTGGTAAGTGTATTTCACTTCTGAAAAATTTTACAAGAAAATAGTCCAAATTAATAATGATTAGTTTAATTACTTTTCTTTCTTTTGTGGTTAAATGAATTATTGAAAATAAATAAAATAAGATCTTGCTGAGGAAATAACGCTGTGGTTGTTCAACATTCGAGTTTTGGTACAAATAATGCACAAATGGGAAAAAGCAATTCATAAAATTAAAATTTGGAATCCATAAATATTAGGGTGCTGCAGAGAAACAGAAGCAACAGAATGTGTGTCTGTGGGTGTGTAGAGAGAGAGAGAGACATAGGGAGAGATCTACTACAAGGAATTGGTTCATGCATTTATGGAGGCTGAAGTCCCATAATCTGTAGCCAGCAAGCCAGAGATCAAGGAAAGTGAATGGTGTAGTTTCAGTCCAAGTTCAAAGGCCTGAGAACCAAGAGAAATAATGGTGCAAGTTCCAGTCTGAGTCTAAATGCCTAAATACCATAAGAGCTGAAAGTATCAGTTCCAGTTCAAAAGCTGACTGACTTCTGACCAAGGAAGAACCAATGTTTTGGTCTGAGTCCAAAGGCAAGAAAGATCAGTTTCCCAGCTCTATCAGTCAGGCAGGAGGAGATATCTCTTACCCGGTCTTTTTGTTCTATTCAGTTCTTTGGTTGATTAGATGAGGCCCACCCACATTACACAGGGCAATCTGCTTTTCTCAGTTTACCAATTAAACTGTTAATCTCATCCAGAAGCATCCCCACATAGAAACCAGAATAATGTTTGACCAAATGTCTTGGCACCCAGTGACCCTGTGGTTGACACATAAAGTTACCCCTCACATCACAAAACACTGAAAGTTGTTTCTCCTTTTCTCAGATCCCTGTCACTAATAGGTAACCTTGATCAATAATATAAAAATTTAAAAATATGTCATCTGAATTTTAAAAGAAATGGTTCAGCCTCAAGCAACAAAGCATAGATTTTTAAATACCCTTAAAATCTAAAATTTCTGAACACAGCAGAAACGTTTTCTAAAATTGAGTTTTATTCTTCCTGGCAGTAATTAACATTCTCTGAAAGTAATTTCAGAATTGTTTTTGTGGATAATGCATGCCTTTTTGACATTAATATGTCAATATTTAGTTTAAAACTTAATCCCCTTAAGTATAATTTAAATGTCAGGGAATAATAAATTGATTACTTACAAATGCAGTGAACTATTGATGTTCTTACAAGGCTTTCATAATAGGATATAGGTGGAGAGTGAATCCTTTATATATATTATTAAATATAACATTTTATTTTAGAGTATTATAATAAAAGGTATTATCTATACATATTATAAGTTAGCTTTGTGTGCATTTATAAGTGAAATAAGAGAAAACCTCTTATAATATGTACAAACTCAAAGCTATTAAAATATCCATTTGCCCAAGTCAAGACTTTCTGCTGTGTGCATAATAATATAAAGACAAGAGGTCTACTAAAAATCATTTTTAACCTTTTTCTTAACTGTACTTTACAAGTTTATACTTCAAAAATAGTAGGATATAGGGAATGTTTAACAGCAAATGAAAAAAAATGATGAATACCAGAGAACTGAACTATTGTTAACTAATTCATTCAATAATATATTCATTGATCAACTAGTACGTGGTAGGCACTGTACTAGGTGATGTGGATGTATCAGTGACCCAAAACAGAAAGTCTCTGCTCTCTTGGAGTTTACAATCTAGTGGGAAAGACTGACATAGCCAACTAACTAACTGAATAAATGTATAACGCTGTATGCTAGAAGGTGGCAAGAGCTATAGGAAAAAAATGAGGTAGAAAAGGAGGATACAGATTGCTTCGGGTGAGGTGAGTGGAAGTCATTAAGAAGATAACATTTGAACTAAGGTTCAAAGAATCTAGGAGACTCATAGAAGACATTTAGGGAAAGAATGTGTCAGGTGGAAGAAACCCCAAAGGAACCCCACTTAACAAAGAGCCTCATCTGTCGCAAACTACATAAACCTTTCCCCTGCTCCATTTACCCAAATGACATGAGATTTGTCATTTTTAAGATTGTATACTGTCTGTCTCCTCAACTCTAATGTAAGCTTAATGGAGACAAAATTTGTATCATTTTTATTCACAGTTGACTATCTGGTGTCTAGAACAGTGTGTAGCATATATTAAGCATTCAGCAAATTATTGTTTTTAAAAAGTTACTTCAGCTATCAGTTAACAATTGCTCATAACCACAAAGCCTCAGTAAAAAGCAAAAAGAAGTGTTATTCCCACAAATTTGCAGATCAGCTAGGACTACTTGGTTGTAAGCTCTGCTGGCTGGGGTGGTTTCACGGTGCTTCACAGGGCAGACTGGCCAAGTGGCTCTACCCTGTGTATGTTTCATCTTCTCTCAGCCACTGGACAAGCTGTAGCCCATTCTTTTCATGGCAGTGGCGGAGGCTCAAAAGGACATGACAACCTACAAGCATATATCAACTGCCTGTTCCTATCACGTATGCTAAGATCCCACTTAGTAAAACAAATCATGCAGATAAGCCCAAGTCAAGCGACAAAATATCCACTTCAACAGTTGTGTGAAGAACTACAAAATCATATAGCAGAGTATAGATGCAGGGAAGGGGGAAGGATTGGCACCAGCAATTCAATCCACCCTACGTGCCCTTGTTTCTTCTCTTTTAATTCAGATGGAAAGTTGACCATAATCAGAATTGGCTACGAAAAAGAAGATTCTGCACGTTTATGCCTCAGGGAGTCATGACAAGGCCTTGCTGAAATAACCAATGCAGGGTAGATGGCTTTTATCAAGTGTTTTTCATTTCTTAACTTCTGAGCAAATGTAAGCATTCTTATTATTGCCTAAATCAGAAGATTTATGCAAAATCTATGTTCTTGAAACAGTGTAAGCCACTGTCAATTAAGTGTTTACTTTTTGCAGCACATAAAGTAGTACAGGATTTTTGTCTTCATTTTTATTTTCCTGCTTTCTTCTAGTTAGAGGAAATCACAGACAAACCTGCTCTCGTTCTCAATAGGAACAGGGTCTGATAAATGTTTACAGAATCCTACTAAACATCAAACCAAAACAAGGTAGAAGACAATGAATTATAGGGAAATATTCATTTAAATACATTCAACAAGCATACCTTGAGTGTCTAACATCTGCCAGGCATTATTATATTTACTTGGATTACAGTGAACAAACCACACAAAGAACTTGCCTAAACTTACATATCAGTGGGGGAGAGAGACAACAAACACATTATCCAGGCTAATCACTAAATCATGTAGAGATTTTATCAGGGCCTTAATCAAATGTTAATTTGAATAAAGTATCCAAAAGCAGAAGAGAAATGTTCTCAGACTTTAGAAATTTTCATTCATTAAGCATGAAGGAGAACCCAAGAAAATTTATTTTAACCCAAGAAAATTTATTCAATCTTGAAGAGTGATCAACTAATAGAAGTCATTTGGGATCTCATTAAGGAAACTTAGAACACAAAATCTAAGGACTATGAAATACCCTCAACAGTCATCACATGTCACGTATTGCAAGTTAGGAACCTTGATTTTGGTGAACTATTATCTCAGATTAGGAAAAATAGAAATGTTGATATAACAAGTGACATCTATGTGCATCAAATTCAATTGCTGATAATGTTTTGATGAATTAAATTTCATTAGAAGTCATATAACTGGGGCATTATTATAAGTCGTCTTATGAATATGAAACAACCAACACTTGAAGAATTTTGAGGATGGAGAAAAATGTTTGTTCCCACATATAACGAAATTTAAAATCTAGATTGAGCCAGTATCAGTTCAATTCACATTTTTCAATGTATATGGAAGGTGAAAAAACATCTCACCAAGTAAGAATGCCCTAGAGCTCCTACATGGCTCCTCTGTTGTCTTGGTTCCTGTTGAAATGAAAGAATGATGCTTATGTCTTAGAGGAAGCCACACTATTTCGGTGTTGGCTGCCATCACCTTTTGCCTCCCTTCCTTTAGGTTCCTGCTTATGACATCTCCACAGCCCTGTGGCTCCACCTCCCTCGACTCCTGGTTAGACCTCACATAATCTAAGATGGCTTTCTTGATACCCCAAGTCTGGCTTGGTTGCCAATCCAGTGTCTTCCATTAGGAACATATAAGTCAATATTGTAACACTGAGTACCCTGTATTTTAAGTATCTATTGACTTGATAACTTTCTTCACTAGTCTTTGGTGGTGGGAACCATGTCTTTTTTACTTGGCACAGTATTCACAATGGTATATAAAGGCTTTCAATAAGTAACTAAGAAAAACTGACATATTGTCTCATTCTTATTCTAAAATAATTAATTTTAATCAACTGATTTTGGAATCTTTATATCATACTAGGATATCATAAAGCACAGTTTTCTCTAGGATTGGCCTCAGAAAAAATGGGATTTGAAAAACATGAAAAAGAAAGGGAAATGAGGTGTAGTGAGTTGGCGTATTCTCATTCCTTATGAGTAAGTCAAGATTATAAAGTAGATTTGACTGAATATTGTCCTATCATTCCTCATGTACTAGCTTAACTTTGTTCAGAAATCATTTTTTATGGAAGGCCATAGTCCCCTTCTGTATCATGTATGTAACATGTATGTCTGCTATGGTTTGAATAGTTGTCCTCTCCAAAGCTTACGTAGAAATTTTATCCCCAATGTGGCAGTATTGAGAGATAGGACTTTAAGAGGCAGGGCCTTCATGAATGGATTCATCCATTCATGGATTAATGGATTAATGGGTTAATGGATTAATGTGTTATCATGAGAGTGGAACTGGTTAATAAGAAGAGGAAGAGAAGCCTAAGCTAGCACTCTCAGCCTCCTTGCTATGTGATGGCCTGAGCTGACTAAGGACGCTGCAGACAGTCCCCCACAAGGAAGAAGGCTCTCACCAGACGTGACCCTCAACCTGGAACTTCTCACCCTCCATAACTATAAGAAATGAATTTATTTTCTTTAAAAATTACCTACTATCAGGTATTCTGTTAATAAGCAACATAAAATGAACTAAGACAACATCTATTTATCTTCTTAAACACAGACACACAAAATAAGGTGATGCTCCTTTCTGTCTCATATTATCATTAACATACAAATACCTTTAGTTGTTTTCAATGATTTTTGCTGGAGAATTTTGTATCCTTTTTGTTTAACAGTAATGGAAAAGGGTTTTGTGCCTTTTTATAGCATTGTGCTCTAGTCAGCAGGTTTCTGATCCTATTGTACTTTCTTTTAAAGGCTTCACTTAAAGATTTTTCTTTGGTGGGTAAACTTAAGAGTGTGCCACCTGGACCCAAGGGAGACTAAAAAATTAAATTATTTCACACTTACTGACCCCCAACTACTCCAGAAAACTAGGATATAATTGCTATAAATGATGCATGAAGAATATAAATGTATATACAATCCAGGCTATAACATTTTAATTGCTTAAGTTACTATACTATAAATTAAACAACATAAGTGTATCACAACAAATTTAAATGACTTTTTTATGTCAAATATTTCCCATTTATTAAAATCAGCCAAGATCTGGGATTTTTTTTTCAGACAAGATCTACTGTAGTTCTATGTTGTTACTTATTTTTCCCCACCATTGCAGCAGTGCCTTGTCCCAACTACCCTCTCAACCTTTTACAGAAAGCATTAAAATCCATCTTCTTATCCCACAAAAATAATTCGTTTTGTTTTTTGTCTCAAAACCATCAACTGTCAACCAGAGGGGCCAAGAACTACTTTATGAAGAGGAAGATGAGGATACTGGTAAGTGGACCAAGGTGTCACAAGACTACATTTCACCTGATGGCCAGTCATGGGCAGGCAGGCATTATGGTATTTTTGGAGCTACTCAGGCACCTTAGCTAATATCATTAAAAGATATTTCTTCACTGATGCTGATAAAGATATCATCTTACCGCAGTATGGTTTTATTTTTTTTCTTTTCCTCTCCTACATTAGCTTTACATCTGCTTACAATACATACAACTTACATGCATATATGTATGCATGTACTATATGCCCTTATATAATCACTAATAAAAAGGTGATATAGCTTTTAAATTTTTCAAAAGATCACCAAAACAGTTCATTAACAAAAGTATTTCTTAAAGGGACACACAAATATGGAATGAGTGAGGGCAAGAAAGAAAACACTGTGGGAATGGATTAGAATTGGAGCTATTGATATGAAATCATTACTATTACAATTTGTATGTGTGAGATTTCTCAAGTATGTGTGTTTGTGTACATAGGTATATATGTGTGGTTTTATATATTTATAAGTGTTTTATATTTGCAAATACATATATATTCATGAATACAGTTCCTAGTTCTGGCTGCTGTTAAGAAGTGAACACAGCCCAGTATCAATGAGCACACCTTGTGCCCAGAGCTTGGTCTTTGATACCATTTTTCACTAATATGATCCAGGGTTTTTTGCTGGGGCTGGGGCAGGGCATGCATAAGATGAGCCTAGTGTATTCTATTTCTCCACAAAATATGAAGTGATTTAAAATACACATATCACAAGAACACAAAGTGAACATTTAATTTGCTACTATTAACCAAATCTGGGATGATATGAACACCAAAATCATTAAGAACAGTGATACATTTTAAATCACTGAAGATATAGGTACTTACATATCCATGACTATAAAAAATGAATGAATAAATGGATAGATGATAGATAGATAGATAGATAGATAGATAGATAGATAGATAGATAGATGAGAGATAGATAGATAAGAGGGACATCTTTTGCCAACAGCAGAATGCTAAGGGATGAATGGTAAATGTGGAAGAGAGGATGACTGGTTAATCATCACTTCACAATCATTATAATATGATTGGATCAGAGAACCATTATCAATGGATAATAAATCTAGATGAAAATTTTAATAACATTTTCACCGACTTATACTGTAGCTCAGAGACTGCTTCTAGTTGCAGTTGAGGCAGGGAAGAAAAGCAACAGTAATTATACAGTGGAAAAAACAGGCAACACCTTGATCAGATAATCAACAGCACCTATACAACACTTTGCAGATGCCATCCTGAATGAATAATCACAATATAAGCATGAGAAGGCATTGGAAAACATGGTATGATGAATATTTTATTCAAAAACAAAAGGCTGGGGAGATGGTATTCTTTAAAATGTCAATGTCATAAAAGATAAAGAAAGGTTATGTAAATGTTCCAGATTAAAGGGAGCTAAGGAGAAATAACAACTAAATATAATATCTAACTCTACTGATCCTGGACTGGATCTCATACTGGAAGAAGGAAACCAATGAACATAACATTATTACATCAACTAACAAAACTGGAATATAAACAGATTAGCTAAAGGTATTAATATATCAATATAAATTTGTAACATTGATTATTGTGGTTATGTAAGAGAATATTCCTATTCTCATACACACAAAAGTAATTGGTGGTAAAGGCCATAATTAATATTAGTTACCTTTAAGTAGTTTGGAAAAGTTTGTATCCTATGTATCTATTGATAGAGATAGAGAAAATGCAAATGATAAGGCAATGGAGGTAAAATGTAAACAACAGGTGAATCACTTTAAAAAGTATACAGGTGCTCTTAGTGAGGTTTTATTTTCGCAACATTTTGTAAGTTTGAAATTATTTCCAAAAAAATGATAAAATGCATTTCCTTGAACAAGAAAAAACTGTTCATACTCTTTCTTTATTCAAAAGATTACCTGATTCAAAATGCTATTTGTTGTATCACTAGAGAAAAGTTTATAAAGTTAGTTGGAATCCATTGATAAGTATTTAAATATGTTGACATCATAGTGCAATTTACAAGCATAGATACATTTTCTATACTTTGGGATAAATCACATCTACATTTTAATCTCAAGTCAGGTACTTTCTAGATTATTATTTTGGCAAAGTTATCTAAACTCTTAGAATTTAAGATTAAATGTCTGTAAAATGGGAATATGCCCTTCAAAAATATATTGGGAACATAAAAATGAAATAATATGTATGAAAAATATTGAATTGTTTCTAGCACCTTGTAGTCCATGCTCCGTCAGTCTTTTCACTTATTTTTTCCTAAAAAAGTGATATTTTCAGTTTGATGTCAAACTGATGCATTTTAACTAAATAATACCCAAATCAATAAACTCAAATTGAAAGAAGTTGCTATTTTCATAAAAAATAAGTTATATGCTTTGAAAAGTGTAAAAGGAACTCCCATAAATAGTCATGTCAAATTAAATCTGGATAAGACAACATAAGAAGAGAAAGTAAAAATTTCCTTTAAAGTTCTGAAGAATTCTACACTCTGATGACTTTTTTTTTTTTTTTTGAGACAAAGTCTCGCTCTGTTGCCCAGGCTGGAGTGCAGTGGTACGATCTTGGCTTACTGAAATGTGCGCCTCCAGGGTTCAAGCGATTCTCCTGCCTCCGCCTCCCGTGGCGCGCGTGCCAGGACGCCCGGCTAAATTTTTTTTTTGTATTTTTAGTGGACACAGGGTTTTACTGTGTTAGCCAGGATGGTCTCGATCTCCTGACTTTGTGATCTGCCTGATTTGGCCTCTCAAAGTGCTGGGATTACAGGCGTCTGATTGCTTTACAAGGGTCCTTGGTTCTTGCTTCATTTAAAAAAAAAATAGAAACAGAAAATTAGAGTGACGCAAGGTGAGTGTGGTATATGCAAGAAAAGTAATAGCAAATTGGTAAATTAAAGAAAAACGCTTGGTTCTAAATCAAAAGGGAGGCCAATTAATTCACAGATGCACGTTTGGAATTACAAAAATTATAAAACACGTAGGTATATTTTTAATGATTTCCACTTTAATTGGTTTTATGAATTAATCAATGACTGTCTGGCCTGATCTTGCCTGATAAGATCACCTAAAAAAATTCACTGCTGGCAGATTTGAAGTGAGGCAGGTAGTTTTATATACAAGTGGAAGAGCAAAAACTGGCAATAATTATTGGGGGGAAAGTGACCTTTAAAAACGTTAGTATGTATTGGACACTCACAGGCATCTATCCTAAATAAATTTTTTAATTTAGGGAAAGGCCTTTAGGTAAAAATGTTTAAAACTAAGTATATTACTTATAACTAATTCCTGAAACTAAATGATGGTGGCTGTAATATAGACGCATACATATACACACATACTAGGATATATATCTATATGATAAAATATTATACAGTTATCAAAATAAACTGAACATTTAAGAGGATAAAAATTCCTTAAAATATTGCTAAAATCACAGGGTATGTTACAAATCTGTATATAGAAAATGATTCTAAGAAGGGTAAGTGACCAAATTGTTGAATGAGTGATGATTTTTAACTCTGCTTCATACGTATATTGTCTTTTCCAAATTTATAGGTATAATGTTTCTGAGCCGGAAAAAAGTAAAAGGTTTTAAATTATTTTATTATAGAATAGTCTGAAAAACCAGATCTATAGCTTTAGTAAATGGATAATCGGATATTTTTCTAAGTTTTAAAATTTTCCTCAATTTGGAAGAATTTTACCTTAAAAAGTTAAACAAGGTGGCATACTTTTTGAAAAAAGAATTCCTTTTCTCTTCAGGGCCTTGTCTCTATAGGCATAGTTAAAAATGTTGTAGAACAGAAAGAATGTATTCCCTACATTTGTATGAGGAGCAAATATTAAAGATTAAGGGACAAAAATAGGAGTAAGACATAGTCTATGATGAACATACTTTTAATATAAATTCATAATGAATATATAAGTTATCTCTTTTGTAAAATTTCTCTTTTAGATTTTATTGAATTACCTCTATATTCTTTCAGTTACAACAGATTATGATTCTAAGACATTGTCTTCAAATCCGCTCT
This sequence comes from Homo sapiens, assembly GCF_000001405.40. Lineage (NCBI taxonomy): Eukaryota > Metazoa > Chordata > Mammalia > Primates > Hominidae > Homo > Homo sapiens. The sequence continues at coordinate 156,437,287 of NC_000004.12, forward strand.
CAAATTTACCTTTGCACAAATAATCTCTCCTAATTCATTGCTCTGCAAGGAAAGAAGGAAAGGTCAACATTTAGATACCTTATAGATGCTCTCAGTTGCAACATCTTTTCCCCTGTGGTCCACAGTCCACTTTCAAATTCTAGATGAGAGCTTTCAGAGGCTTTTACTTTCATGAGAAGTGGAAGTATTATTATTATCATATTTTTTTGTTGAAGCTTTGAGAAACTACCTTTTGGATTTTAATTCTTATAATTGTATTCTCACTGTTTTATTTTGTTTTGTTTTCCTTTAGACACTAGAGCTTATTTCCCTCCTTGTTTAAATTGCTTTGCATTCTGGTCATTAATTGGCCAGTGTTGGGGGCTCACCATGTGTTTCACATAAAGTTGCCAGCTTTCTCTGGTGTTATATGACAGCCTCCTTGAAAGCTGAAGACAAGGTGCATACACTTTGTCTAAAAAAAAAAAAACATGACTTGAACTGATGTAAATTTACAGTAGCCAAGGTTACAGCATAGTAGGGAACTCTTTAATACCTGAATGGAGGAGCAGTCATAAAGGACAACTTGCAAGGGTGAAATCTATTAACGTCTGTAACAGGATGTCAGAGCCTGCTGTGCATACATCTGGGAAGCTTCAGAACCATGGGAGGAAAAAGATCAGGAAATCAGAGGCTGGTTAAATATTGCATTGCTCTCAATAGGCGAATCAAATTAAAAATAAATCTTGAAGTCTTGAATAAAGTAAACAGAATCACACCCTATAAAGCAAAAAGTGATTCTGTAGCTGGGAGAAGCTTCCTGTAGCTGTGTAAGTTTTATGTGAGGTCCCTAAATCTTCCTCTTTATAGAAATGTTTATGTCTAGACTTTTTCCAGGTCTTTTTTGTAAAAAAAAAAAAAAAAAAAGCAATGAACCTCAAAAGATAGGATTCATAGACAGGATTAGAAAAAAAGGTGAACTTTTGACTGGGTGCGGTGGCTCATACCTGTACTCCCAGCACTTTGGGAGGCCAAGGTGGGTGAATCACCTGAGGTCAGTAACCTTGGCTACTGTAAATGTACGTTAGTTCAAATCATGTCTTTTTTTCAGTCAATGGCCAACATGGTGAAATCCCATCTCTATTAAAAATACAAAAATTAGACGGGTGTGGTGGCGCACTCCTGTAATCCCAGCTACTGAGGAGACTGAGGCAGGAGAATCGCTGAAACCTGGGAAGTGGAGGTTGCAGGGAGATAAGATTGCGTCACTGCACTCCAGCCAGGGCAACAGAGTGAGACTCTGTCTCAAAAAAAAAAAAAAAAAAAAAAAAAAGGGCAGGGGAGAGATTTTAAAATAAAATAAAATTGTGTGTGTGTGTAAATTAGTAAATTAAACGCTTTTATCTCCTTTCTTCTTTTCTATATTTTAAAAACTCTTCCAAGACAGAGTAAAATCATGGAGAAAATGGAAGAACTGAATGCAGACATGAGAAGTTAAATCACAGAAGAAAAGTTAAGCAGGAACTTGAGAGAGGGATGAACTGTGACAAGTTGTAAGAAGGAAGACCAGGACTCACCAGGAAAATAATAAATTGTCCTTGATCGTACAAAAGAATGTGTTAATGGAATTTTCCTAATAAATGTGAGAGAATGTCAGCATAAATATTGATTTTAAAAACAACTTGAATTGTCTGACTTGTTTAAGAAGTTTCACTTCTAAATAAGCAAAAGAAAATAATTTCAAGAATTTGAATATTATATAATGCATTTGGGGAAATATATTTAGAGTTGCTCAAATAATTGTTGTTGATGGTGAGGTTAGAGTCATGTAACCCTGAATTAACATATTCTACATATTATATAAACTGTACCAAGGGCAATTTTGCTTCAGGACAAGTTAAAGGCAATGATAGTCTTATGTATATATTTTGATATCTCCATAGATAGTTGGAAAGAATATTTATCTTAACATGAATTTGGAAGTTTTGACCAGTGTGAGTCTTGACACTTTATTTTATTTTATTATTATTATTTTTTTGAGACAGAATCTCACTCTGTCGCCAGGCTGGAGTGCAGTGGCTGTGATCTTGGCTCACTGCAACCTTCATCTCCTGGGTTCAAGCAATTCTCCTGCCTCAGCCTCCCAAGTAGCTGGGATTACAGGTGCATGCTACCACACCCAGCTAATTTTTGTATTTTTAGTAAAAACGGGGTTTCACCATGTTGGCCAGGCTGGTCTCGAACTCCTAAGCTCAAGTGATCCTCCTGCCTCGGCCTCCCAAAATGCTGGGATTACAGGTGTGAGCCACTGCACCCGGCCAACACTTTAATTCTTGAACAGATATTTTGGGGAGGATCAAAATCATGGAAAATTTTGGTACCAGAAAATTTACAGAACTTACTCTATATTTTATCCAAGGAAAAAAAAAAAGAACAGCTGGAAAAAGATTTCTCAAAAGGGAGATAAAATGTAAATGTTCTGATTACGTCATACAAAACATCTGTTTATTCGGCATTAAAAACAACACTCAAGTAAATTTCAAAACAAATTACTTACACTATATATCACAAATATAATGCAATGACACTGGGAATTAATAAATAAACAAACAGAAATGTTGAAATTAACAAATACTCTCCGATTGAGTTCAGAAGAATGCTAAGGCCAAGAAGTAAATGCTGGAGGCTGGCATGGCCCTTGAAACATTTGAAGGGAGCCTCACATTCTGGCAGCCACTCTGGAAAGTGTTCCTGTGACAGAGTCTGCACCAAGTGGAGAAAATGCAGCAGGAAGAGTGACTTTCAATCCATTGATGTAATAAAGGCCATTTCCAGGTAAAAAGTGTGAAAAGTGGGGACACTTTTTTGTGACTGTCTTTGGCTCTCACAGGAAACATTTTAAATTATCCCCTTTGGCAAAGAGAAGTTGTTAACTACAATTGTGGCTGTCTCCGTCTTCCTCATAAGAAATCCCCCAAGAAATCATTAAATGGTCAAGATAACTTATGCTAAATTTAAACTTTTTCAATAAAACTTCATCTTGGCCTAAGGGATTTGGACTGTTGGTCAGACTCTGTTTCAGCATTCAATATGAGGAAAGCATATACTCTCACTGTGAGCACAAGAAAATAGAAAAATCATCAGATAGGTAAAAGGATACATTATTTTTAAAGGATAATTTTCTGTTGGGACATTAGAGTAATGCCTAAGGATAAAAAATTGTTTTGAAAATAATTTAATTTTTTGTCAAATTAAGAAACCAATGATGTCTGAAAGTATTATGTAATATGGAAACAATCTAAGACTTAGGAAATACTAAGACTATACAAAGATAAAAAAAGATTGATGAATAAAATCTGCAGTGGAGTCAATCAACAACAAATTGGATACTGCAAGAAATTAAGATTAACAAATTAGAAAATGGGAAATGATCCTTATGGAAAGCAAAATGGCACTTGGAATAATTCAAGGAGAGTGTATTTTCTAAAGGGCTATTTACAAATGTGTGAAGATAGGGGAAGCCCAAGAGATAGAGCATCAACCTGGGAAGCAGAAGCAGCCACACTCCTGCTAAACCTGAAGGGACAAGTGAAAGGACTGAGCATTTGAATCTGAAGGGAAGAAATTGCACACTGAGGCCTGGGGCACATTGAGAGAGGGAGCTGGGTCATATGCACCCTGCTCTCATTCTGCTCCCTACCTCAGATCTCCTGAAGCCAGAGAGTGAGAAGCCCGTGGATATGTTTCATACTCTTCAGCCTCCCCAGGTAAAGTGAGGATAGAGAGAGATAAAGTAACAATAGTTCCATGTAGACCTGAGGGGGCACATGGACAATACCCAGCCCACAGCTAAAGAATTCTTTGAGAACAGATATTGTATGAAATACAGATGAAAAATGGACACAATCAAATTTAAAAAGTGGTAAGAACTCAAGGATAGAAAAGTAATAGACAGAACAGATGGCAGGGGCAAGAAAAATAACAGAAATCTTTCCTAGATCAAGAAAGCTGATTCTGTAGCTCCAAAAGGTACACTGAATGTATCCAGACCCACTAAAAAGTAAAACCAATAAAGAACATAAGAATAGGGGATTAGCTTTTTTAGAAGAACTGATATTAGCAAATAAACCCATACATGAATTAGTAAGTGCTTTTCTGCATGGTAGAGAATGCTCTCCTGTTCCCACTAAAAATGTTCCTGTGCTTTTCTCTAGTGCCTGTGAGTATAGTCCCTTACATGGTAAAACAGACTTTGTAGATGTGATTAAGACTTTTGAGATGGAATTATCTAGGTGATCCAAATGTAATCATAAGGAAGGTATAAAAAGGAGGCAACAAAGTCATAGTCAGAGACAGATGCTTATGAAAGCAGAGGTTGAGATGGTGGTCTTTGAAAATAGAGGAAGAAGTCTTAAGCTAAGAAATGCAAGCAACCTCTAGAATCTGGAAAAGGCAAGGAAGTAGAGTCTCCCCTGCAGCCTCTAGAAGAAACATGCTTTGCCTGCTCATTGATCTCAGTCAGTAAGACCTATTTCAGACTTCTGCCCTCTGCAACTGTAAGATTATAAATTTGTGTAATTTAAGCCACTAAATTGGTGGTGGTTTGTTACAGTGACAATAGGAAACTAATACACACTGCTATTTGATTTCTATTATTATAGAAAATAATTATTTAAAATAATAATCATTAGAATATAATTATTCAATAATTATTAGCATAGTTATTCAATAATTATTAGAAAAATGCACAATATTATGTATGTATATAACACATAACCCTGTAAACTGGACTGGCATATTCTCATGTGGAATCCAGTCCACACTATTATTATTATTTTGTTTTTTATTTTGTTTTTATATTGTTTTCATTTTGTTTGTATTATCATTTTTTGTTTGTTTGTTCTGGCAGCCCATTTCTATATAGATGCATCCCAAGCACAGATTTATTTATAATAGTAGTGAGTAAGTGGTGTGTGTGTGTGTGTGTTTCAATTTGTTGAATTTTTTTCTTTTTTTCCCCAAAACTCTCTTTTCCATAATTTTCTACATATCCAGGAAAGAATAAATTCCATATAGTCTAATAATGTTTTATATTAATTATCTATTTATAAGTTGTACAATAGAAGGTGTTGTGCCCATACATGAATAAATTTATTTAGGTTAAAATGTTTCATTTTTCAAAAACACTTTTTAGTCATTTTCTTTGTGCCTCAATAGAGTACAAAATTTACATGGACTTCCTTATCATATTTAAATAGAGATATGTGATGTTTATATTGTTTTTTTTGTTCGCTCTGGCAGCCTAATTCTATGTAGATGCACCCTAAGCATGGAAGGTTTGTTTAAAATAGCAGTAAGTATGGGTTGTGTGTGTGTGTGTGTGTGTGTGCATGTTTAAATTTGTTAGGCCTTTTTCCTTCTTTTCCCTAAAACTCTCTTTTCTGTAATTGTCTACATAGCCAGGAAAGAGTAAATCCATATAGTCTAATAATGTTTACTATCAATTATAAATAAGTTGCACAATAGAAGGTATTGTGCCCATAAATGAATAGATTTCTTTGGGTTGAAATGTTTCATTTTTTACCGTGTTTGTGTTTACACTTCAGTTATCAAGGAGAAATATTTATTTTCCTGTATTATATTTGCAATAAAGTATACTTGTGGAAGTAGTACATTAATTTTTTTCTATCTGAAAATTTTGATTTGTGTCAGAAATATCAAATTTTAATGTGCAAAATAAATGTTGTCTCAGAGACACAAAGTTTGTTAAACATTGCCCAACAATGTCTGAATTGCATTCCATTCTACATTTATTAACATAAGAATGATCAGTATCCAAATCACTGAATGTTCCTGACAAGCAAGGGATGCTGATTTACCACTATTGAATCTAGGAATTAAAATATAGCAAGCTTGCCAGATGTAAAGTTCTAGGTTTGGTGAAGAGTTAAAAGCCCTCTTACTGATGTGCTATAAGATTTTACAATAGAGCATTAAGCAGCAACTTGAAAATGTGGCCAGATGTTGATATGTAAAATTTTCACATATTTTTGGAGTAACTTTGAAAGCCTCAGAGTAGTTAATATATACTCATAGACTGCATATCATTTGCTTCATAGATGGTCTGATAATGTTCACAATTAAAATGTTTGGGAACGCCATAAAATTTTTTTCACAAATCTCTTTGGTCAATACAAACTACCTTATGTGTAACTATCAACAATGAAACTGTTTCAATCCAAAGAGAAGGCAATTGTAAAAGTCTGGGATACTGCAGAAAACATAAGCCAAGGTGACTTTCAATCTTTAGTCCCTACTAATGGGTTTATGTAACACAGACCTTTTTTGTTCTTTCTTCAATTATAATAATTATATGTCGGCCGGGCGCTGTGACTCACGCCTGTAATGCCAGCACTATGGGAGACCGAGGCGGGTGGATCACTTGAGGTCGGGAGTTCGAGGCCAGCCTGACTAACGGGGAGAAACCACGTCTTGACTAAAAATACAAAATTATCCAGGTGTGGTGGCACATTCCTGTAATCCCAGCTACTTGGAAGGCTGAGGCAGGAGAATCCCTTGAACCCAGGAGGTGGGGGTTGTGGTGAGCCAAAATTGTGCCATGGCACTCCAGCCTGGGCAACAAAAGCGAAACTCTGTCTCAAAAAACAATAATAATAAGTACATGTCAATCACATCATATTATTTAATTTGGCAGTACATCTTTTATTTGCCATGTTATGTCATTGCAATTTTGATGCAAGATTTTCTTTTATATATGTTCTATTCTTTAAGTTCAGCAATTGACGTTCATGTTATTGAAGATATCCATTTATAATAAATCTAAATTATAAATCTGAAAATGTTTAATTTTTAGACTTTAGTCTCTAAACTAGACAAATTCACAAGTTTACAATTTATAGCTAAAAAATCTTACACTACTCAACAAAAAGTATAATTTTCCAAGAGGACCAAGCCATTGTTTCTTTTTATTGTTGAAATGTACATTTTGATTTGTAGATTAATGTACTGTAAACTGCAAATTACTATATCTGGTTGTAAATCAGGTGTAATGTTAGGCACTTTCTTTTGCATCAAGAAAAATATACTCTCACTAGTTATGTTCAATATGATTTTGTCACCTGTATTCCCAGTTTTCTGCAAATGGTAGATTTAAGACCATATATGAGTAAAACTTTACCTAAGTTAATCACATTGTAATATTTTAATAGTAAGCTTGTAATGTTTGAAATTCTAGACCAATATTTGGTAACAAGAATATACAAGAGCAAGAATCTAAATTTCACACTATGAGAGAATATTCAGCCATCACTCTCAACAGTGGTTTTTTCTAATGACTTAAAAGTATGTCATTGGCTTTGAAACCTAGAGAATATGGACTATATTGTGAAGTAAAGGAACCCAATTCATTTGTTAATGAATGAATGCACGCAGAATAAATTTATTTTAAAAATCAAGGAAGAAGGAAAAAGACTAAGCAGAGAAAGAAGGGGAGGAAGGGAGGGAGAGAGAAAATGAGGGAAGAGAAGAGAAAAAGACTAAAAAGGAAATTGAGAAATGGGGAAGACAGGGAGAAGAGGACAATAAAGAGACAGCTTTTCCTGAGGAAGAAGGAATTTTCCTCAAGATGACAACATTGCCTGCATTTCCAGCCTGCCATACAGATTTTAGATTGCCATCCCAACTGCCTCTCAGCCCCGCCAGTCTCCAGAGCTAATTTCTTTTCTTTTCTTTTCTTTTTTTTTTTTTTTTTGTTGAGACGGAGTCTCGCTCTGTTGCCCAGGCTGGAGTGCAGTGGCGCTATCTCGGCTCACTGCAAGCTCCGCCTCCTGGGTTCACGCCATTCTCCTGCCTCAGCCTCCCGAGTAGCTGGGACTACACGCGCCCGCCACTACCCCCAGCGAATTTTTTGTATTTTAGTAGAGACGGGGTTTCACCGTGTTAGCCAGGATGGTCTCGATCTCCTGACCTCGTGATCCGCCCTCCTTGGCCTCCCAAAGTGCTGGGATTACAGGTGTGAGCCATGGTGCCCAGCCTCTAGAGCTAATTTCTTAAAATCTCTCTCTCTCATATATATGAAGAAACATTTTTGAGTAAGAATTCTCAACAGGGATAGCACCATTTGTAACCCATTTATGTCTGAGGTTGCAATTTTTTAAATGTTTGCAATCAGACCTTGGCAATGACCTTAAGCAGTAGGTTATAAATAACTCCTGTATGCTTAGCGTTCCAATAATGGAACGCTAGGCATAAGTTAAGTGGTCTTTTTAAAGAAATAAATCTCTTTTATTACCCTACATATGTATATATATTATATACATACACACACATATATACACACACATAAAGAGAAACATATAATGTTTCTATAATATAAAGTCTCTATAGTCTTTATATGTACATATAAAATATAAAATATATAACTATATAGACTTTATTTTATTTATCTAGATAATGTATATATATGGAGAGAGAGAGAGAGAGAAAATAGGTTCTATTTCTGTGGATATCCCAGATTAATACAGATTTTCAGATGAGATGAGCTGTGTTCAGGGTGGTATACCTGTAGACATAACGCAGATTTTCAAATTTAATTTAACAATTTACTAATTACCCATGGAGCCACATATGTTCAATTCACAACACACTGCAAGGCAGCCCTTATAGGGACTTAAACCACTTATGTTTGTTCCTATTGAATTTAACATTGACTTCCTAATTCTTAATTTTAGTGGACCTATAGAACCCTCATCACCAAGACAGTTTGTTTCTGGAGATCCACAGGTATCATTAAACTGCAAGATAGTATAGGCAAAAAAAAAATGTGATCAAATCATGTAGGTATGAGTAGGAAAACATTAGAGAAAGGTAACAGAACAAAGAAGAATATCCTGTTAATAACACTAATCAGATAAATTCTCTTATTTATAATCAATATACAGGCCTTGAAGACATTTGTGAAGAAGAAACAGTTTTAAGTAGGAATTTTCAACAAAGATAGCACCATTTAAAAAAAAAGTGGTCTTTTCAAAGAAATAAATCTCTTTTATTAGCTTAAGTATGCCTACTAGAAAAAGTCTTAGCTCCAGAATAGTCTCATATCATAGTTCTAACAGAGCACTATAAATCTTGAAATCTTTCATGAATTTTTTACACCAATAATCACTTTCTTTCAATATTGACTGTGGCATAATTCTCATCATAAATTGCCATGGATTAGCTAAAATATTAGAAAATTATTCTTGTCATAATCTTAAGATTTATGTATCAGAAAAAACATATGACAATAAGTCATCCAAAAAGGAAGAAAACTGCATATAGATAGTTAGCATTCCTGGAAATCTCAGCCCACAAATCATTTAACTTTTGGAGAACCCCAAAGGAAGCAATTTTTAAAAACATACAGCTATAATTCTAATTTCAGTACCCCAAAGAATTAAAAAACAACTGACCTAAATTAACAGGACTGGTATGGCCTAGATGGAAAAGGTTTGAATTAAGGGAATGAACATCTCCCTAGGTAATTCTTGTGCCCAACAAAGTTGGTGAACCACTGGAATAGAAGTAGAAAGAAAAGAGCAAAGCTATTACAATAGTCCAAATGAAAAGTTCAAGAAACTAAAATAAGACAAGTGGCAATAGAAATATACAGAAAAAAGTAGATTTGATAGGCATTAAGGCTAAGTGATTTAGGGATCCAAGACAGTAAGAGATTTGAGGAATAGGAAGCTGAAAAACTTAGATTATGTAAATTATAGCATATTAACCAAAAGAGGGAAAGGAGAAGGAGGAGAAAGTAAATGTGGAAAGATAAAAATGCGGCTTTTATATTTTACTTAAGATGTCTGTGGAGCAGTAGATTAAGATATCTATTAGTTAGAAATGTGGGTCAGGAATGCAGAAGAAAGATGTGAACCTAAAATATAGATAAGAGCTATCACCATAAAGGTAGTTAGAAGAAAAAGAAGAGGAGCTGGAAGAGGAGAAGGAAAGAGAAAGAGGAAGAGGAGGAGGTAGAAATGGGAACTTGTAGAACATATGTAGTATTGTTCTGTCTATGTATGCTTATTTTATATTTATAATATCATAATAGACGTACCAGAGTATAATTCGTTTCTTCATTCCATAATGGGTTTTGGATATTTTTCCATTTTAGAACATATAGATTTATCTCAATATAAATAAATATGTACATGATATAGTTCCAGAAGGATATACAGCAAACTAATAGCAGTGATTACCTCTAGGGAAGTGGGAAATGATCAGGATTAAGGGTGTGGTCAAAGAGACATTTACATTTACTTGTAAAGTTTTATTTGTTTAATATGCAGAATGAATTAATGTATTGCCTGTAAAATTAAAAATGCATTTTAAGTGAGGTTAGACTAATTCATCTAGATTTATCATTATCTGGTTTTGTAGTTTAATGGAAAGCTTATGATACCTTGCAAAATTCAATTATATGCCGGACTCTCTTAGAAACCAGGAAAATGCCATTGTTTTGTCATAAAATTATAATTTAATAAGATGCATTTCTACTGAATTAGTATTGCAATTACTAGTGCATATGTGTAAAAATAGCAAATAATGCAGCCGCAAAATTTTACATTTATAAACCACCTATCTTTTAGAGTATTGGTATATTCCCATCAGTCACTTTAACAAAACCAGCTTCACATTTTAAAATAGCAAATTATTTAATATATGTAAAAGTGCTTCCTCAACATTCACCATGAAACAGTATTTGTGAATACTGTCAACAAAATAAAAAAAAAGTCAACTTATGATACATTTTCCTTCTTTTTTAAGAAAATTGACTGATTTATTCTCAGGCTGTTGTTTTTGTTTTTGTTTTTTTCAGTAATATGTAGCCAGCCACCCGCTCAACATCTAGTATGAGAATTTCCAAGGTTCAATCTGAGGCCTTCTCTTCTTTCTCTATAGAACTTTCACAGAGAATTGACTCATTCCCATTACATTATTTTTTATCCATTACTTGAATGCCAGTCAGGTGTGCTATATCAAGCCCAAACCTCTTTCCTAAGTTTAGCTGTCTTCTCTCTCCACGCTTGACACACTGTGACCTCAATAAGCAGACCCCAAACAAATTTCATCATCTTTCCTCTCTCCTTCGTTTTGCAGGGCATGATCATATCCAAACTGATTTTCTCTCCTGACTTCCTTCTTTATGCTAGTCATCCAAGGTCACTCAAGGGGAGAATGTTGGAGCATGAGTTGAAAATCTAAATGTCTACTACTGCTAAGCAGGAAACACCTATGTGATTAAGACAAGGAGAAATGATATTGACTGGCAATCCAAGGGCATAACCAACCCATTAAAGGCAGTAGGCTTTCCTCAGCCTAGATCAGCTTATGGTTCTCATATTGTGCTGCCAGTTGTTATTTTTAAACCTTATATTTAACTGCTGACAAAAAATATATTTTAAATAATATGACAATGAAAAAAAAATCCAGAAGAGGTATCAGCCTTTACTGTAGAGGATTTGGTTTGACATCTATGGAAACAGTGCCATGCTTTCATTTTAGGTAATTGGGCTATTAAAATCATCAGGCCGAGTGTGGGGGCTCACTCCTGTAACCCCAGCACTTTGGGAGACTGAGGCAGGTAGATCACTTGAGGCCAGGAGCTCGAGACCAGCCTGGACAATACGGTGAAACCAGTCTCTAGCAAAAATCAGCCGGGAGGGGTGACATACACCTGTAATACCAGCTACTCAGGAGGCTGAGGTGGGAGAGTCACTTGAGCTGGGGAGGCGGAGGCTGCAGTGAGCCGAGACCGCACCACTGCACTCCAGCCTGGGCGACAGAGAGAGACTGTCTCAAAAAAAAAAAAAAAAAATAACAACAAAAAAAGTCTCTCTTGCTTTAGTCCATAAGACAAGTGAAATTTTAAATATTTTAAATATTTCCTGTAAGTTATTGACTCCCTAACGACAAATAATAATTTTATCAATGATTTTTAAAATGTTAGTGTGACAGTCATCTGAGAAAACTGCTATTTTCCCACCAAGAAAAGAATTAACTGTAAGTTCAGTAACTAACCTTCGTCATCGTGTATGTGTTTGTGTGTTGTGTGTGTGTGTATGTTTTTTATATAGTAAACCAGTGCTGTTAACACTTGGAGTCTTGTGAGTAAACTATATACTTTTCTAAATGCTTTTGCTTCTGATTTAAACAAAAAAAATTTTTTTTAAATTTTTTATATTTTAAGTTCTGGGATACATGTGCAGAACGTGCAGGTTTGTTACATAGGTATACACGTGCCATGGTGGTTTGCTGCACCCATCAACCATCTACATCAGGTAACTCTCCTAATGCTATCCCTCCCCTAGCCCTCCATCCCCTGACAGGCCCTGGTGTGTGATGTTCCCTTCCCTGAGTCTATGTGTTCTCATTGTTCAACTCCCACTTATGAGTGACAATATGCGGTTAAACAAAAATTTTTAAACCACCATTTCTGTATCTAAATTTTCATGATTCTCTCCTAAGTTTGTTTCTTTTTTCTTTTTTCTTTTTTTTTTTTTTTTTTTTTGACAGAGGCTTGCTCTATTGCCCAGGCTAGAGTTCAGTGGTGCAGTGATCTCCGTTCACTGAAACCTCCGCCTCCTGGGTTCAAGTGAGTTTCTTGCCTCAGCCTCCTGAGTACCTGGGATTACAGGCGCGTGCCGCTAAGCCTGGCTAATTTCTTGTATTTTTAATAGAGATGGGGTTTCACCATGTTGACCAGGCTGGTCTTGAACTCCTGACCTCAAGTGATCTGCCTGCCTTGGCCTCCCAAAGTGCTGGGATTACAGGCTGATCCACTGTGCCCAGCCCTAAGGGTGTTTCTTGAACCAACTGATATCTTTAGTTCCTCCAGCTATTATTACACCTCAGGCTTCGAGCACACCCTGCATGCTAAAATCCATAATCATCTTTATTTCCCTATTAAATTCTCACATAGTTCCCTTTAAGTTTTGTTGTGAGAGCATCTGAAATCCTCTTTAATATTTTTTCAGTATTCAATATATATTATTAACTACAGTTGTCTTGTTGTAGAGACCCATAGAAGAGAAGTCCCTATGGAAATGAAAGCAGATATTGGAGTTATTTAACCAAAGCCAAGGAGTGTCTGGAGCCATCAGACAAAAGAGGCAAGGAAAGATTCTGCTTTAGAGCCTTTGGAGGGGGCATAGCAGACACCTTAATTTAAGATTTCTGGCATCCCTGGGTGTGAGAACATGTTTCTCTAGTTTTAAGCCACAAGCGTGCACTGATATCTTACAGAAAAAAAAGTGTATGTTAATTTCTTACAGAAGACCTAGAAAACTCATATTCCCCCTTGCCAAAAAGCACCATCACACCTCTGCTTTTCTAAAAGACCAAGCTCCTCAAAAGTTTTCTGCAGCCACTGTCCCAGCTCCTCATATCCCTTTTTTTTTTCTCATCTCATTACAACTGGGGTCTAGTTCTTAGCACTTAAAGTTTCTTTGTTAAGATTTCCCACTAATTCCATCTTGCCAACCCCAATGGTCCCAGTTTGTGACCACCTGTCTCAGCATCTCAACAGCGTTCAATACAGCTGACACCTTGAGATCCTGTGATTACACAGGCTTGGGTTTCCTTCACCTCCCTGGTGCTCCATCTGACTCTCCTTTACTGGTTTCTCCTCCTTTAATTGACCTCTATATATCTAGTGTCCTGGATTCAGTCTTAGAACACCTCCTCTTACTTTTTTTACTCTATGGATATTCTAATAATTCCAAAATCATTGTCTCATTTTGTCTCTAGTATATTCTAACAGTGTGACCTTGAGCAAGTTACGTAACACTCTGCTTGTTTTCTCATCTGTATTATGTGGGTAATTAATCCTACCTGCCCCAATGAATGTTTGTGGATAAATAATCCATCTATATAAGGAATCTAGAACACAGTCTGACATGTAGTAAGTGAGCAATAATGTTAGTCAATACGATGATAATGATGATGTTGATTATTTTATTTCTATATTTGGATAACGAACAGACATCTCAAACCCAATATGTCCAAAATAATATGCATGATTCCACAAAATTGCAATGCCTAATCCTCTTGCTGTGTTATGTATCTTAGTACTTGGTGATAACATCCCCAGCGAATCAGCTCATGACTCTTGTTCTCTCACTTTCCCCAGCATCCAATCCAATAGCAGCTCTTGGTAACTCATCTCCAAAGATAACATTAATCACTTCATTTTTCTTCACATCAATTGCAACCCTCACTTTCATTTACATCACCACTATCCCTGATTGGACCGTGACAGGAGACTTCATTGTTCTCACAATCATCCCTGAACAATCCATTTTTCCATTAGAAGCCAAAACAACCTTTTAAGCTTCAATAAGAACACGCCACTCCATTATTTGAAACTATTCAATCACTTCCAACTAAGAACTGACATTATGTTGTACTACCTTCCTATCAGTACATTCAGACTGTTGTAACAAAATACCATCAACCAGGTAGCTTATAAACTACAGAAATTTATTTCCCACAGTTCTGGAAGCTGGCAAATCCTAGATCAAGGTGCCTGAAGATTAGATGTCTAGTGAGGACCTGCTTTCTTGTTCATAAACAGCTGTTTTGTTTTTGTTTTTTACCTGTGTCTTTACACGGCTGGAGAGCCATATTTCTCTGTGATACCTTTTATAAGGGTACTAACCCCATTTATAAGGGCTCTGCCCTCATAATTTAATCACCTCCAAGGAGCTCACCTGCATATACAATCACATTGGGTGTAAGAATTTAACTTAGGAATTTGGGGAGGGAGGACGGACACAAATAGCCCATCTATAGTACTTCCCATTGTACCTAGATTATATCTACACAGATCTCATCTTATTTGACTCTTCTTCAATTCTCCTCTTTTAGCCAAAGCACAGTTTCTTAAAACCTGGCTGCCACCTCAGTGGCCCTGCACATTCTCTCCTCTCTGCACAGATAGCTCTGCACCCTAATTTTCATATGAAGGGTCCCTCTCACCACTCAGGCTTCAACTCAACTGTCACCTTCTCTTTTGGGGTAGAGTACTATGGCATGATCATGTCTCACTGCAACCTTGAACTCCTGGGCTCAAGTGATCCTCTTGCTTCAGCCTCCAGAGTAGCTGGGACCACAGGTGCACACCACTATGCCTGAATAATTTTAAAAATTTTGGTGATATGGGATCGAGACCATCCTGGCTAACATGATGAAACCCCGTCTCTACTAAACAATACAAAAAATTAGTCGGGCGTGGTGGTGGGTGCCTGTAGTCCCAGCTACTCGGGAGGCTGAGGCAGGAGAATGGTGTGAATCCAGGAGGCGGAGCTTGCAGTGATCCAAGATTGCGCTACTGCACTCCAGGCTGGGTGACAGAGCGAGACTCCATCTCAAAAAAAAAAAAAAAAAAATTTGGTGATATGGGGTCTCACTATGTTGCCCATGCTGGTCTTGAATTCATGGGCTCAAGTAATGTTCTGGCTTTGACCTCCCAAAGTGCTGGGATTACAGGTGTGACCCATGGCACCTAGAAAACTGTCACCTTTTAAACATACCTCCATTGGTCTTCTTTTCAACATTGCATTTCTTATTTCCAAGTAACTTTCTATTATTTTACCCTGGCCTGTTTTCTTCACTGCATGCCTTAGTGTCTAATATCCTCTTTCTTTATTTCCTTATTTCTTTTGTTTGCATGTTTTTTTTTTTTTGTTTTTTTTTTTTTTTTGAGACAGAGTCTCGCTTTGTCACCCAGGCTGGAGTGTAGTGGCGCGATCTCGGCTCACTGCAAGCTCCGCCTTCCCAGGTTCACACCATTCTCTTGCCTCAGCCTCCCGAGTAGCTGGGACTACAGGCGCCCACCACCACGCCCGGCTAATTTTTTGTATTTTTAGTAGAGATGAGGTTTCACTGTGTTAGCCAGGATGGTCTCGATCTCTTGACCTCGTGATCCGCCCGTCTCGGCCTCCCAAAGTGCTGGGATTACAGGCATGAGCCACCGCGCCCAGCCCGCATGTTTGTTTTTTATCGCTTGACTCTACCAGAAAATGTAGCTTTATGAGGTCAAGAGTCTAATTTTTCTTGTTCAGTTATATCTCTCCAGTGCCAGGAATGAATGAAAGGAAATAAATAGCAAACAAAACAAAATATTAGGGCTTCATATTACTTTGTTTGTCTTTAAAATATTTTGCGCATTTATGGCTTGTCAATTTGGGAAGTTTCTGCTTCTCATTCATTAGTTCATTCATTCCTTCAGTGTGTGTTTATTGAATACCTATGATATAGTTTAGATCTTTGTCCCTACCTAAATTTCATATAAAATTTTAATCCCCTATGTTGAAGGTGGGCCCTAGTGGGAGGTAACTGAATCATGGAAGTGGTTTCTAATGGCTTAGCACCATCCCCCTAGTGCTGTCTTATGAGTAAGTTCTCACGAGATCTGGTTGTTTGAAAGTGTTTAGCACTTTCCCCTTCGCTCTCTCTCCTGCCAGCAATGTGAAGATGTGCTTGCTTTCCCCTTGCTTCTGCCATGATTGTAAGTTTCCTGAGGCCTCCCCAGCCATGTCTCCTTTACAGCCTACAGAATTGTGAGTCAATTAAACTTCTTTTCTTCATAAATCACCCAGCCTTATGTAGTTCTTTATAGCAGTGTGAGAATGAATTATACAACCTACTTATTTGCCAAACCACTGTTGAGGTCTAAGAGTTCAAAGACAATTAAAACTGTTCCTTCACTCAATGAACTAATAATGTAGACCAACCTAAAAATACTAGATGGTCCAATAAAGCTCTGTATAAGTGGTTTCATAACCAATATTTAGATCAGTTATTCAATTAAATAGGTAGAGAAAATATTTTGTAAGCCACTTAGTAGATACTGTCAGCCTCATAAAACTATGGAGGAAAATCAACAGAAATTAAGGATTTTCAAAAATTTTTCTCAAATGTTTTTGTAAACATGCATGCATACACACATGCATGGGAAGATATTTGCTACTCTCCTTAGAGGAATTCCTAGGTGCAATATGTGATTGGTATTATTTTTATATAGTGTTCAGTAATGTACTTAAAATAAAAAAAATAGACTGAGTGTAGTAGGTATTACCCATAATCTCACCACTTTGGGAGGCCAAGGCAGGAGGATTGCATATGGCCAAGAGTTCAAGACCAGCCTAAATAACATAGCAAGATCCCATCCCTACCAAAAAAAAAAAAAACTTTTAAAAATTAGCCAGGTGTGGTGGTGCATCTCTGTTGTCACAGCTACTCAGGGAGCTGGGGCAGATGGATCACTTGAGCTATAATCTCACCACTGCACTCCAGCCTGGGCAACAGAGCAAGACCCTTCCTCTAAAAGAAAAAAAAAAGAAAATAATGTACTATTTAATATAGGCAGGAAATTGAATATTCTGGATAGGTAAATATACTTGAGCATTATAATATGTTATGTATTTTTAGGATTATACAAATAAAAATATTTCAGAAATTGTTTCAACTACCTAAGCTTATTGATGCAGTAAGAAACTACTCAAAGACTAGTTGAAAACTTGTGTCAAATAGCAACACTAATGAGAAAAGAAATTTTCCACATAAATTAATTTTCTTAATAATTAAAACTTATAGTGTTATGTGTTCCAAATGCTTTTTAAAAGTTTTTATTTTATTAAGTGGACTCATGTTGTACTGAAAATAGCATGAGTTTTGGCAAAAGATATATGGCACTTGTGATCCCAGTTTAGAAATTTACTAGCTATGTAACCTTAAGCAGGTCACTTAAATATTTTGATATTTAATTTCATTATCCTTTAAAACAGCAATAACTATGTTATTAGGTTATTGTAGGAATTTAGAAAAATATCTTTAAACACTTAGCATATCAAGCATATACTCAATATTGCTTTTCATGAAAATATTTCTAAATTATTAGTATGGATTTACTTTCTCTTTAAGCTACTGAGTGTAATAACCTTATAATATCTATATCACAAGGTAGAATTAGCTGATAAATATAGGCTAGGCACGGTGGCTCACGCCTGTAATCCCAACATGTTGGGAGGCTGAGGTGGGTGGATCACATGAGGTCAGGAGTTCGAGACCAGCCTGGCCAACATGGTGAAACCCCGTCTCTACTAAAAAATACAAAAATTAGCCAGGCATGGTGGTGGGTACCTATCATCTCAGCTACTCAGGAGGCTGAGGCAAGAGAATTGCTGGAACCCAGGAGGCAGAGGTTGCAGTGAGCCAAGATTGCACCATTGCATTCTAGCCCGGGCCAACAAAAGCAAGACTCTGTCTCCAGAAAAAAAAAAAAATGTTTATATCTATATCCAACTATCTATCTATCTATCTATCTATCTATCTATCTATCTATCTAAGCATGAGGTTGAATCACCACTCTGCCATTAATTGACCACGTTACATTGGCCCAGTCATTTCTCCCCTCTAACACATAATTTCTCTTTCTGTAAATTGTGAAGATTGGGATAGATCTTTCATAAGATTTCTTCAAGATCTAATAGGCCAATATTGCAAGAAGCTAATGATGATTTTGTGATGCGATATTGTGTTGTTCTAAGGGGCTCTTATGAATTGAATTGTGCCCCCAAAAGATACGTTAAAGTCCTAACCCCCAGTACCTGTCAATGTGACCTTCTTTAAAAGTAAGTCATATGCAGATTTTATCAAGTTAAGAAAAAGTGTCTTTGTAATCCAATACGACTGGCGTCATTGGAAGAAGAGGGAAACACCTAGTAAGGACAAAGATATTCAGGGAGAAAGTCAAGGATGACGGAGGAAGAGATTGGAGTAATGCTGCTACAAGGTGCAGAAGCCTGTGTCAGGGGCATTTGAACCAGAGCAACTCCATCTTGAATAAGGGATGGGTGAAATAAGGCTGAGACCTACTGGGCTGCATTCCCAGGTGGTTGGACATTCTTAGTCGCAAAATGAAGTAGAAGGACAGCACAAGGTACAGGTCACAAAGACCTTGCTGATAAAAGGATGTGATAAAGAACCTGGCCAAAGTCAGAATGGCGATTATTGAAAAGTCAAGAAACAACAGTTGCTGGTGAGGTTGAGGAAAAAAGGAATGCTTTTACACTGTTGGTGGGAGTGTAAATTAGTTCAACCCTTGTGGAAGACAGTGTGCCGATTCCTCGAACACCTAGAGGCAGAAATACCCTTTGACCCGGCAATCACATTACTGGGTATATACCCAAATAAATGCAAGTCATTCTATTATAAATATACATGCACATGTATGTTTGTTGCAGCACTATTCACTATAGCAAAGTCATGGAATCAACCCAAATGCCCATCAATGATAGACTGGATAAAGAAAATGTGGCACATATAGACCATGGAATACTATGCAGCCATAAAAAGGAACAAGATCATGTCCTTTGCAGGGACATGGATGGAACTGGAAGCCATTATCCTCAGCAAACTAATGCATGAACAGAAAACCAAACACTGCATGTTCTCACTTATAACTGGGAGCTGAACAATGAGAACACATAGACACATAGTGGTGAACAACACGGACTGGGGCCTGTCATGGGGGAGCATCAGGAAGAATAGCTAATAGATGCTGGGCTTAATACCTAGGTGATGGGTTGATCCGTGCAGCAAACCACCTTGGCACATATTTACCTATGTAACAAACCTGCACACCCTGCCCATGTACCTTGGAACTGAAAATGAAAGTGAAAAAAAAAAAAAAGAAGCTGACCAAAACCCACCAACACTTAAGATGGCAATGAGAGTGACCTATGATCCTCCTCACTGCTCATTATATGCTAATTATGATGCATTAGTATGCTAAAAGACACTCCCACCAGTGCCATGACAGTTTACAAATGCCATGATGATGTCTGGAAGTTTCCCTATATAACCTAAAAAGGGGAGGAAGCCTCAGGTCTGGGAATCACCACCTTTTACCAAGAAAACTCATGAATAATCCACCCCTTGTTTAGAATATAATCAAGAAGCTACTATAAGTATAATCAGTTGAGCAGCCCATGCCTCTGCTCTGCCTATGAAGTAGCCATTCTTTTATTCCTTTACTTTCTTAATAAACTTTCTTTCACTTTACTCTATGGACTCACTCCAAATTCTTTCATGTGCGAGGTCCAAGAACCCTCTCTTGGACTCTGGATGGGGACCCCTTTTGGGTAATACAAGGATTGAGGCCACCACCAGAATCCAGGAAGAGGCAAGGAAGAATGGTTTCCACAGTCTCAGAAGAAACATGGCCTTGCTGGTGCCTTGATTTTGAGCTTTTAATCTCCAGAACTGTGAAAAAATATATTTCTGTTGTTTTAAGCCACCCAGTTTGTGGTACTTTGTTGTTTCAGCCTCAGGACACTAATGCAGGGTCTCAAAGATGTGAGGACCTGTTGATTTCTTCTACTTATTGGTGTCAGTCCAATCACTCAAGCATCCACATGTCTTACAGTGCTGATTTCCAAAACCTCTGAGAATTACTTGACAGGGCATACTCTATTTCATTATCTAGAGTGAGTATTATGATTTGTTCTGTATAGTTTCCAAAAAAATATTTAAAATAGGATTTTTCAAAAAAGCATCATATGCGTTGTAAATAATTATTCTGAAACAGGTCTCAACGTATGTGATGATAAATTTCCAACATATTTATTTTTCTAACATTTATTTTTACTCTCACCCAGTTGAAAAATATATCTCATGATACTTCATTTTATTTACCATGTTAAGATATAATAGTGACACCATAGTCACCTCACTGCCTTATTTTTGGTATTTTTCTCTAAAATCATTCATCAATATTTTTTCCAAAATATTTTCTCTCTCAAGATAAAATTATGTTATTTTAGACATTCCAATAGAGTTACTAATGACAACAAATTACTTATTATTTCCAGTACTGTCAAATGGGACATGAAAAATGTGGCAAATGTCAAACTTTATTAGATGGGTTTTTTTTAAAAAAATAATTAAAGCTACTTGCTTTTCCAAAAGAAAAAAAAATTGTGATAGTTATTTCTTCATTTGCTGTGTGCTATGGTTTGAATAATGGTGTCATTTCCAAAATTCTTGAACTTAATCCCCAGCAGTATTTAAAAGGTGCAGCCTCTGGGAAGTGATTAATATGCTTAGCACCCTTATAAAATGGCTCCAGTTTTAAGGAGTGCTCCCTAGCCTTTCCCTAGCCTTGCTCTACCAGTGAAGACACAGTTTGTCCCCTCCAGAGAAGAGCAACAAATGTATCATCTTAGAAGTGGAGACCAGGCCCTTTCCAGACACCATTCCTGCCAGCACCTTGATCTTGAACTTCCCAGCCTCAAATGGGAAATAAAACTCTCTATTGTTTATAAATCACATCTGTGGCATTTTATTACAGTAGCACAATTGAACTAAACACTGTGCTTTCTGCTTTCTTCCTTCGCTGAACAAAATAACTTCAGTTTTTCATAAAACTAGCTGAAAATGGCACATAAGACCCATCGTTAATATATAAATTCTTGCCAACAAAGTGGAGAAAATTTCCTGGATATATTTATTATAATAATTATTATCATTTTAGTTTTGACTCTAATCTTTGTTTTTGCACCCCAAGAGTAGATTATAGACCTATATCTGATAACAGGTCCTAACAGTTGAATTCATTTTTCAAGGTTTGTGGTATATTTCTTCTGTAACAGAGAGTTGAATTTAGTGGCCCAATTGGTAATGCTGCCAAAGAATATTTAAGGGGGTAGAAGAAGATAGGTGGCTATCCAGTTACATCATCAGCTTGGTGATTGTCAGTACATTTCCTTTCAAGAGTTTTGTACTCAGCAACTGAAGCATTATCGTAAGAGTCTTTTTTAGAGCGTCCCAGTCAGTAATGTTAATTATTCTCCATGGATTTGGAAGAAAGATTTAGTAATTTTTGTAAAAACAAGTATGGAAATAAATATATATTTGGAAATAGAAGCAAGTGCCAGCAGACATTACTTTATTCCTGCACTAGGCATGTCCATCGGCAGCTACAAAAGAGAATATAAATCAGAATTTCTCCAGAGAAGGAAAGCCACAATCGTTAATGGGATAAGAAGGCTACTTCTCAAAAATGATTTAAATAACAGGGAGTTTAATATAAAAAAGCAAAGAAAAATCTAATATCTTTATCAGTTTTTAATAAAAACACATCCAACATGCATGCAGAAATATTAACACATCCTCTTTAGTTCAGAAGGACTTGAGTGTATTTTTAAAAGTATACGTATTGGGCAAATTCTCAGTTGGGAACAACAGAAGTCTTTCTGATCACTTTAAGCTGAATAACGGCTTCTCAGAATATATTAGGTTACTCATAGAGTCTTGGGAAGGGATGCAAAGATGGACTTAAAGTTTAGCTTCCAGGAACAACACGCACACCAGGCCAACGACCGATCTGATGACAAGGCTGACACTGGTGCCACTGAGTGCGTCATGCCAAGACACTGACTTTATTGCAACTGCCAGGACCATTACCACTTCTGTACTAGGAACTTGACCTGTTGCCCCTGGATTCCAAATACATTTACTGCCTCATGCCAATCAATAAAAGGCAGTGCCATCAAAACATTTTCTCCTTGCTTTCTTCATTACAAAATCCAAAGGTCACATGGACAAAATTAGTGGAGAATATGCTACTAACTGAAATGAGACATGAAAAAATGAGTTGTACCTTTTAGATTGAGGAAGTTTTCTTCATATAAAGTATAAATTTTTGTAAAGCTAGAAAGCCTATTTGAAAAATCATGTTCTGTCGCAAATATGATAATTATCAGTACAGATTGGATTCTAAGAATTGGTAAATATTTTACAGGATTTTTAGTCTGTAAAGTATCCAAGGCATTCATTCATTTAATAAATAATTACTACATATTTGGTTCTGTGACCTAGAGCAAGTGACTTAAACTTCTCTGAGTCTCAGTTATCTAAATGTAAAATGGAGAAAATAATATATTTATAAATGCAAAAAACTAATATGGTAAGCACTCAATAAATTATCATTGCTATTATTAGGAAATAATAGGTCCTAGGCAAAAGTATTCCTTCTACAGAATTCCTAACAGATAGCCATCCAGTCTTTTGAGTACTTTTATTACCATGTGACTTACATCCCTATGACAGCTCATTTCAAACTAGAGCATTTATTTTTATTTATATTACATGTAATATCATGCCATGCTATTATAATTTCCTAGTTTGGGAGCCATCAGCATAAAAAAGGCTCCATTAAAAAAATTCATCGTGTTAATTAAACAGTTTCTCATGATAGCAACATTTTAAAAGGTGGCTGGATTTCCAATACCTCCACAAAATTATTTCAATCCATGATAATTCATCTATATTATTATATCACTAAAAATAACCCTTATCACAGGTTGGTATCTTCAACTCTAACAACATTAAAAGTATCCACAAAATAGCAATGCCATTCATCTACACTGAGGTAAAGCCGTGTGGAGGTTAACAACATAGGCTCTAGAGCCAGATCAATCAGGTTGAAATCTCAGTTCTGCTGCTTTCCAGCTCTATCACCTTAAGCTGGTTATGCAATTTTTCTGGGTCATTTGCAAAACCGAGTGAATAATAGTACCAACCTCAAAACTATTATGTGAGAATTGAACATGTCAATATACAAAGTGACTAGAACAGGGTCTGCCCTAGAGTGAGTACTACATGATTGTAAGCTATTATCAATATTACATACCAAGGTCAATTGGGAGTGCTGAGAATGCCAGTGTAAGGAGAGAATACCAGACTGCTCCTCATGTCTCTCACAGTGTCATGTGGGACAAAGACACATAAACTGATCATTATAATGCACTTCAGTAAATACATGTGCATGGGTGAAAAAATAAGCACCTAACCTCGCTAGGGACTAGGTGGAAGTGAAGAGTTTGGAGAAGGCTTCCTAAGAAGATGATGGGTGAACTAAGCAACAAATAGTGATTAGAGAGTGGCTAGCTACGCGGCTCCAAAGTAGAAATCAAGTTGTCTGCCAGCAGTGGTAATGAGCAAATTAGAGTAAGAGGATTGGATAGTGGTAATAAGATAAAGCTTACCAAGAACAACTAATCATGAAGTTGTAATGATAATCTCGCCTCAGCCTCCCAAAACGTTGAGATTACAGGTGAAAGCCACCATGCCCTGCCAGTTTTGTTTCTTTTTGTTCAGGATTGCTTTAGCTATTCAAGGTCTTTTGTGGTTCCGTATCGATTTCAGGATTGATTTTTCTATTTCGTTATTGGTATTTCAATAGGGATTGCATTGAATCTGTAGATTGACTGGGATCCCATAGACACTTTAACAATATTAATTCTTTGAATCTGTGAGCATGGGATATTTTTCCATTCTTTGTGTGTTCTCTTCATTTTTTTATCACTGTTTTGTAATTTTTATTGTATGGATTTTTCGCTTCTTTAGTAAAATTGATTCTTAGGAAATTTTCTTTGTAGTTACTGTAAATGGGATTTCTTTTTCAGATTTTTCTCTGTTGATATATAGAAATGCTATCATTTTTGCAAGTTTTTTTTTTTTTTTTTTGAGGTGGAGTCTTGCCCTGTCACCCAGACTGGAATGCAATGGCGTGATCTCGGCTCACTGCAACCTCTGCCTCCCAGGTTCAAGTGATTCTCCTGCCTCAGCTTCCCTAGTAGCTGGGATTACAGGCACGTGCTACCACGCCTGGTTAATTTTTTGCATCTTTAGTAGAGACAGGGTTTCACCATGTTGGCCAGGCTGGCCTCAAACTCCTGACTTCGTGATCTGCCCTCCTCGGCCTCCCAAAGTGCTGGGGTTACAAGCGTGAGCCACTGCACCCAGTGCAAGTTTATTTTATATCCTGCAACGTTACGAAGTTTTTTTAATCAGTTCTAACAGTTTATTTGTGTGTGTGTGGAACCTAGGCTTTTCTAAATATAGTATCATGTTGTCTGTGAACAAGAATAATTTGATGACTTATTTTTCAATTTGGAAGCCCTTCATTTCTTTCTCTTTACTAATTGCTCTGGCTGGGATTTATAGTACTGTGTTGAGTAAAAGTGGTAAAAGTGGGCATGCTTGTCTTGTTCTAAATCTTTTCAAAAAGGTTTTCTATTTTTTCCCATTCAGTAAGATGTTAGGCATGGTTTGTCAAATGTGGCCTCTATTATATTGAGGTGTTTTCCTTCTACACCCAGTTTGCTGAGAATTGTTATCATGAAGGGATGTTGAGTTTTACCAAATGCGTTTTCAGCATACATTGAAACTAGTAAATGGTTTTTGTTTTTATCTATTAATTTTATGTGTTCTACTAATTGATTTGCATATGTTCAACCATCCTTGCATCCATGGGATAAATCACTCTTGATCATGACAAATGAACTTGTTAATGATCTTGTGTTATTGAGTTCATTTTGCTAGTATTTTGCTGATGATTTTTGCATCTACATTCATCTGGTATGTCAGCTTATGCTTTTTTTGTTGTTGTTATTTCCTTATCTGCATTTGATATCAGGGTAATGACAACCTCATGGAATGAATTTTGAAGTTTCCTCTTCTTGAATTTTTTTGGAATAATTTGAGTAGAATTTGTGTTTGTTCTTCTTTAAATGTTTGTTAGAATTGAGCAGGGAAGCCATCGGGTCCTGGGTTTTTATTTGAAGGGAGACTTTATTACTGTTTCAATCTCGTTACTCATTATTGGTCTGTTCATGTTTTCTGTTTCTTCATAGTTCATTCTTGGGAGGTTGTATGTGTCCAGGAATCTATCCATTTCTTCTAGGTTTTCCTATTTGTTTGCATATAGGTATTTATGATAATATCTAACAATAATTTCTAATATCTAATGTGTTTATGATAATATCTAACGATCTGTGGTATCAGTTCTAATGTCTCGTTTTACAACGGTGATTTTATTTAGTTATTCTCTTTTTCTTAGTCTAGCTAAAGGTTTGTTGGTTTTGTTTGTCCTTTCAAAAAACAACCTTTTTATTTTGTTGATCCTTTGTAATTTCTTAGTCTTAATTTATTTATTTGTGCTCTGACCTGTATTATTTTTTTTCATCTACTAGTTCGGGGTTTGGTTTGTTCTTATTTTTCTAGTTCTCTGAGGTACATCATTAGGTTGTTTATTTGAAATCTTTCTACTTGTATGATGTAGGCATTTATTTCTATCAACTTCCCTTCTAGAACTGTTTCTACTGTATCCCATAAGTTTGGTATGCTGTATTTCCATTTTTGTTCAAGGAAATTTTTAACTCCTTTTTTACTTCTTCATTGACCTGTTCACTGTTTGGGAGCATGTTCTTTAACTTCCATGAACTTTTGCACTTTCTAATATCCATTCTGTTATTGATTTCTACTTTTATTTTATTGTGATCACTGTAAAACATACAGTAAATGACAGAGAAGAGAAATGAGGCATTTTAAGTCAAATTATACAGTAGATTTGGAAACTGTAATATGTAATATATCTGAAAGTACACAGGATATTTTAGGGAGGAAAAAATGGTTATCAAAAACTGCAGAGAAATTTCTAAAACTAAAATTTTTACATTTATTATCTGTGTAATGAAGTGCTCTTTTCCCGGACATACCCTTTTCTTTCTATTTCCTCATTGAAAAGATCTAAATGTCATCGTTTCTAGGAAGGTTTCCTGACTGCTCCCTGGCCCAGCTTCAATAACAGCAGAGTTAACTGTTTTCACTTTTGTATGCTCTCACACTCTAGGACTTACTGTTTCATGTAGGCACTAAGCCACTTCAAGCACTTCCTATGCACAGGTTTAGTTGAGGGTATATAAGAAAATTTTATAACCCATCACTGAAAAATTTAGTCTAGAGGGAAGACTAACTTATCATACAATTAATTTGATTAGTGATCTGATGTGAAACAGCAAGAAGGTGAAGAACCTCCCTTCTACCCTGAATTTGGGAAGAAGAATAAAATCTGCCTAATGGAGGTTTCATCAGAGCAATTTCAAAGGATGTTAGAATGAGTTTAATGATGAATTATGATAAAGAGCATTTTAGAGAGTTGAAAGACAATGTGTGAAGTCAAGGACACTAGTAGAAAAATGAAGACTTTGGCCATCTCATTATACATATTTTTACAATGTATTTTACTCAGAGGATGACGTGTCTGTTACATGCCTTGGCTATGAGATTTTTGCCATTCACATTTATTTATTTATTTCATCCCAGTACTCAGCCTAGTGCTCTCTGGTGCTCAATCAATCTCGTTTGAATGAATAAATCAATAGCAAGAGTAATATTGCAAAAGTGATTCAAGATGAGACATGCCAATATAATAAAAGGGAATAATTTGATTTAGCTTTTATAGTATTATGCACAAAGTAGGCATTTTTAAAACTTCTTAAGTGGAGACAGTTCTATGTAGAGGAAAAAACAGACTTGCAAGAAATGTGATTGTCTAAGTCAGATGTGATGAACTATGATGAAAAAGAAATTTTTCCAGTAACAAAACTGTATTTCTCTTTGCTGGACTTTCTAATAAAGTAACTTTAGCACTCAAAAAAGTCATCCAAAGATTAATCACTGGATGACAGATGCACGTTGAACATGAGAGTAGTGATATATTCAAGGAGTTTTTATTTATAGTTAAACTGAAATAGGTCTGAAAAAGATCTTTTCAAAACTGGATTGTTTATAAACAATTATCAGAGATCAAATACAGTGAAACTCATAGCTAGCTAGTCACAGAAGACAAGCAAGGTTTATATTTTACAACACCTTATAGTCTATTTCTAATGAGAGCAAAAGTTTTATTAATTGCTTTGGGACAGATATTTTTGGACAATTCTAGAGACACATATAACAATAATAACTCCATTTGAAAAAATATTTCACTGAGTAAAGTAAAATTACCTACCAAGTTGTAATCTGTAAAATAAAAGCAGTAAATTAGTAATATTATCATTAGTACTAAAGAGAAAAAGGTTTTCATTAATCATTGAGTATGAACCCCTCAAAGTGGAAATGTAATTCCACACTCATATCTACCAACAGGTGACAGCAGAATAATCATTCTATAATAAAAGAACACTACCTACTGTTACAAGTTGTAAACTTAGCTAGGCACAGTGGCTCATGTCTATGATCCCAGTACTTTGGAAGGCCAAGGTAGGAGGATCCTTGGAGGCCAAGAGTTCAAGACCAGCTTGGACAACATAGTAAGACCCCATCTCTACAAAAAAAAAAAAAGAAAAAAAAGAACTGGGTGTGGTGGCACGCACCTGCAGTCCTTGTGTTTGTGAGATCCAGGCAGGAGGATTGCTTGAGCCCAGGAGTTTCTAGGTTACAGTGAGCAATGATCACACCACTGCACTCTAGCCTAGGTGACAGAGAATGACCCTGTCTCGAAAAACAAAACATAAAATTATAAATTTGGACTAGAAGTCCTAACCAAAGCAGTTAGGCCAGAAAAAGAAATAAAAGGCATTCAAATTGGAAAGAAAGAAGTAAAACTGATGTCTGCAAATGACATTTTCTTATATGTAGAAAGTTCTAAAGATTGCACACACACACACACACACACACACACACCAACACACAGCTGTTAGAACTAATAGACAAGTGTAGTAAAATTGCACAATGCAAAGTTAACATACAAAAACCACTTGTATTTCTACACACTAACAAAGGATAATGCAAAGGGCATTCATGTTAAAAATTCTCAGTAAACTGGGTATTGAAGGAACATATCTTAAAATAACAGTCATATATGACAAACCCATTGCCAACAACATACTGAATGGGCAAAATATGGGAGCATTCCCCTTGAAAACCAGCACAAGACAAAGATGCCCTCTCTCACCATTCCTATTCAATATAGTATTAGAAGTTCTGGCCGGGGCAGTCCCCCATTGTCGTAACTCATTTCAGCATTAAGTCAAAAGTCCACAGTCCGAAGTCTCATCCGAGACAAGGCAAGTCCCTTCCACCTATCAGCCTGTAAAATCAAAAGCAAGCTAGTTACTTCTTAGTTACAACGGGAATACAGCATTGGCTAAATATGCCCATTCCAAATGGGAGAAATTGGCCAAAACAAATGGGCTACAGGCCCCTTGCAAGTCCAAAATCCAACAGGGCAGTCAAATCTTAAGGCTCCAAAATGATCTCCTTTGACTCCAGGTCTCACATCCAGGTCAAGCTGATGCAAGAAGTAGGTTCCCATGGTCATGGGCAGCTCTGCCCCTATGGCTTTTCAGGGTACAGCCTTCCTCCCTGCTGCTTTCACGGGCTGGCATTGAGTGTCTGCAGCTTTTCCAGGCACACAGTGTAAGCTGTCAGTGGATCTACCATTCTGGGGTCTGAAGGATGGTGGCCTTCTTCTCACAGCTCCCCTAGGCAGTGCCCCAGTAGAAACTCTTTATGGGGGCTCCAACTCCACATTTCCCCTCTGAACTGCCCTAGTAGAGGTTCTCTATGATGGTTCTGCCCCTGCAGCAGACTTCTGCCTGGACATGCAGGCATTTCCATATATCCTCTGAAATCTGGGTAGAGGTTCCCAAACCTCAGTTATTGTTTTCTGTGCAACTGCAGGCCCGAAACCACATGAAAGCCACCAAGGCTTGGGGCTAGCACCCTGTGAAGCCATGGCCCAAGCTGTACCTTGGCCTCTTTTAGCCATGACTGGAGCTGGAGCAGCTGGGACTCAGGGCACTGTGTCCAGAGGCTGGAGAGAAAATTTGTGCACTCGGCCTGGCCCACAAAACCATTTTTCCCTTCTCGGCCTCTGGACCTGTTATAGGAGGGTCTTCCATACAGGTCTCTGAAATGCCTTGGAAACATTTTCCCCATTGTCTTGGCTATTAACATTGGGCTCCTCTTTATTTATGCAAATTTCTGCAGCAGTCTTGAATTTGTCCCTAGAAAATAGGTTTTTCTTTTCTACCACATGGCTGGGCTACATATTTTTTTAATTTTTTTTTATTATACTTTAAGTTCTAGGGTACATGTGCACAATGTGCAGGTTTGTTACATATGTATACATGTGCCATGGTGGTTTGCTTTACCCAACAACTCGTCATTTACATTAGGTATATCTCCTAATGCTATGCCTCCCCCCTCCCCCACCCGAGGGCAGGCCCCGGTGTGTGATGTTCCCCACCCTGTGTCCAAGTGTTCTCATTGTTCAATTCCCACCTATGAGTGAGAACATGCGGTGTTTGGTTTTCTGTCCTTGTGATAGTTTGCTGAGAATGATGGTTTCCAGCTTCATCCATGTCCCTAGAAAGGACATGAACTCATCCTTTTTTATGGCTGCATAGTATTCCATGGTATATATGTGCCACATTTTCTTAATCCTGTCTATCATTGATGGACTTTTGGGTTGGTTCCAAGTCTTTGCTATTGTGAATAGTGCTGCAATAAACATACTTATGCATGTGTCTTTATAGTAGCATGATAAAGGGGATATCACCACTGATCCCACAGAAATATAAACTACCATCAGAGAATACTATAAACACCTCTATGAAAATAAACTAGAAAATCTAGAAGAAATGGATAAATTCCTTGACACATACATCCTCCCAAGACTAAACCAGGAAGAAGTTGAATCCCTGAATAGACCAATAACAGGCTCTGAAATTGAGGCAATAATTAATAGCCTACCAATCAAAAAAAGTCCAGGACCAGATGGATTCACAGCCAAATTCTATCAGAGGTACAAAGAGGAGCTGGTACCATTCCTTCTGAAACTATTCCAATCAACAGAAAAAGAGGGAATCCTCCCTAACTCATTTTATGAGGCCAGCATCATCCTGATACCAAAGCCTGGTAGAGACACAACAAAAAAAGAGAATTCCTAAAGACAGAAATGCCATTTGACCCAGCAATCCCATTACTGGGTATATACCCAAAGGAATGTAAATCATTCTATTATAAAGACACATGCACATATGTGTTCATTGCAGCACTACTTGCAGTAGCAAAAATATGCGATCAACCTAAATGCCCATCATTGATAGACTGGATAAAGAAACTGTGTACATATACATCATGGAATCTATGCAGACCCAAAAAAGAAAGATTATGCCCTTTCTAGGGACATGGATGGGGCTGGAGGCCGTTGTCCTTAGCAAACTAACACAGAAACAGAAAACCAAACACCACGCTTACAAGTAGGAGCTAAATGATGAGAATACATGGATACATAGATTGGAACAACACACTGGGGCCTATTGAAGGGTAGAGGGTGGAAGGAGGGATAGGATCAGGGAAAATAACTAATTGGTACCAGACTTAATATCTGGGTGATGAAATATGCTGTACAACAAACCTCTATGAAGCAAGTTTACCTATGTAACAAACCTGCACATGTACTCCTGAACTTAAAAGTAAAAAAAAAAAACAAAAACCCATTTATAATAGCACCAATAAGAATAAAAGACTTAGAAATAAACTTAACCAAGAAGGTGAAAGTTCATGGATTGAAAAACTTTATATTGCTTAAATAACCGTTCTACCCAAAGCAATCTACAAAGTGAATGCAATCTCTATCAAATTTTTAAGGCATTTTTTTTGCATAAATAGAAAAAAATCATCTTAAAGCTGATATGAAATCTCAAATGACCTCAAATAGGCAAAACAATCTTGAGAAAGATAAAGTTGAAAGCCTTAGGCTTCCTGATTTTAAAAAATATTACAAAGCTAGAGTAATTTAGACAGTGTGATAATAGCATAAAGGCAAACATGTAGCTTAATTGAGCAGAATAGAGAGCTCAGAAGTAAAACTTCATATGTATGGTCAGATGATGTTCAATAAGGGTGCCAAGTCTTCATAATTGAGACAGTGTCATCTCTTCAACAAATGGTGTTGGGAAAACTGAATATCCACATGCAAAAGAATAAAGTTAAACCCTTACCTTATATCGTATGCAATAATTAACTCAAAATAGACTAAAGAATTAAATGTAAGACCTGAAATGATAACAGTCTTAGAAGAAAACAAGGGAAAAGAAAGCTTCATGACACTGCATTTGGCAATGTTTTCTTAAATATAACACCAGAATCACAGGCAACAAAAGGAAAAATAATCAAGTGGTACTACGTCAAACTTAAGAACTGCTGTACAGAAAATGAAAAAATCAACAGAGTGAAAAATGAAACCTACAAATTGGGAAAAATTTTTCAAACTGCATATCTGATAAGCAGTTAATATACAGTGTATATAAAAAATTACAACTTTACAAATAACCGAATTAAAAATGGGCAACAGATTTGAATGGACATTACTCTAAAGATATACAAATGACCACCAGCATCATGAAAAGATACTCAACATTACTACCCATCAGGGAATTGGAAATTAAAACTACAATGAGATATCACCTCACACCCACTAGGGTAACTACTATTATCCAAAAAACAAAACAAAACAAATAACGAGAAATGGACAGGATGTGGAGAAATTAAAACCTTTGTGCCCTATTGATGGGAGGGTAAAGTGGTGCGACCTCCATGGAAAATAATATGAAGATTCCTCAAAAAGTTAAAATCTAATTACCATATGGTCAAGCCATCCTACTTAGGGGTATATATCTAAAATAAATGAAACAGGATCTCAAAGAGATATTTGCATGACCACGATCACTGCAGCATTATTCACAATAGCTAAGAGTAAGAAACAACCTATATGTCCATTGACAGATGAATGGATGAAGAAAATGTGGTATATACATACAGTGAAATATTGCCATATACCGTAACATTGATGAACTTTAAGGACATTATGCTAAGTGAAATAATCCAGTCACAAAGAGACTCATTGCATGATTCTACTTTATAAGTGGATGTAATATGGTGATATCTAAAGTAGGAAAAATCTTAGAAGCAGAAAGTTGAATGGTTGTTGCCAGAGGCAGAGAGGAAGTATAAAAGCAGAGTTGTTCAATGGGTATAGTGTTTCAGTCATGCAAGATGAAAAGTTCCAGAGAGCTATTGCACAAAATTGTTCATATGGTTAACACTACTGTATTGTACACTTAAAAATAGTTAAGATAGTAAATTGTATGTTTTTACCACCATAGAAAAAAGCTCTGAACTTGCCTTTTGGAATAAAAATGTGAAATTCTATATGAAATGCCTTTACTATAGTAAGAAACACAAAATAACTCCTCTGAATTATTTTACCTCTGCCTGCTTTTCAAGTATACAGTATTTCCTGAGATATTATTGAAGGTCAATGGGAAAGAATAATACAGAGAAAAATAAAGTTTGTCTTGCTTCAAAACTGTGGAGTGAAGATTAATTAGAAAAAAAATCAAAGGGTCATAGAAGAAATACATATGTTATGGAATATTTTTTCAGTTCTCTGGAGCCCAGCTAAAAATTTATTTCTTCTAGGACATGCCAGGAGAACAAAAAGAAAATAATTGAAATGGAAACAATCAAATAGATCCTATAGGGACTGAGATTTATATTTAATGATGTTAACTGTTGGTCTCTTTCTTATCTAAAAGCATTGTAGGGAGGTCAAAGGATTTTGCAGCTGATCAAGGAAAAAGAGATGACCACAAGATAGAACTAGCCCTCAAAGACCTTTATTTGGGTCAGACATTTACAGGTTTGCATGTGGGGAAAGTCCCTCATAGAATGAGAGGGTCCAGAGGTCCCCATTCAGAAGCAGAAGAAGGAAGGTCCTCCTGGGGCAGATGGGGCATGGGCAATGGGGATTCATGTGCAAATGATGTCACTCAGCAGCAAGATGGGGAATCTCTGGATCAGGGATCTCCAAAGGGCAGCAGCAGCCTGGGGTCATTCATAGCTCTGGGGTTAATCATCTTGTCTATGGCCAGCAGACAATGAGAGCAGTTTTGTGGGGTCCACAAAGCATTGGGCTCTAAATGGCTAAAATTCTATCTATCGGGCTACATTTAAAGCAACTGGATACATAAAAATTTGAATTTGGCACCCATGATGTTTTGAGCAAATGGGTTCCAGCTTGCTATGAAGAAGTAAACAATTTAGGGCAACATAAAAGGGGGGAATCCTTACTCCATTTATGTAACAAATATGTCACAAAGCCTACTTGCTTAACAATAGAGAACAGGAATAGGCATCTATTTAAGGAATTTGGCGTCTTAGGAAAATAATTATTTCTCGTGTGTGTGTGTGTGTGTGTGTGTGTGTGTGTGTGTGTTTTGTTTTTTGAGACGGGGTCTTACTCTGCTGCCCAGGATGGAGTGCAGTGATGAAATCACAGCTCACTGCAGCCTCAACTTCCCAGGCTCAAGCAATTCTCCCACCTCAGCCTCCCAAGTAGCTGAGACTACTGGCACACATGTCCCTACACCCAGCTAATTTTTTTTTTTTTTTTTTGTAGAGATGAGGACTCACTGTGTGCCCCCTAGGCTCTTCTTGAACTCCTAAGTTCAAGCATTCCTCCTGGCTCAACCTCCCAAAGTGCTGAGATTACAGGGGTGAGCCACCACACCAACCTCTCCCAAGTGTTTTTAAATGAAGCAATGTTATTTTCAAAGGAAGCAAATGTGTTATTTAGTTGTCTTTGGAAAACTCAAATATATTTTTTGTGACATAAAAAATGTTTCGTGCTTATGAAGATGTGTCTAGTTTATCTTCATGGTCTCTAAGTTTGTTTCATTTGCTTGATTGTACTGAAGTAAAATATTTCTTGTCATTTTGAGACTTTTGAAAAATGTTTAGAAGACAGATATGGAGACTGTGGAAATGGGTCAACTTACTATTAATTTTGAAAATTTGGTTTTAACTGGAAAAACTATTCTTCAATTACAACAGTCTTTAATGGTTCTTTAATAAGACTATTTGTAAATAAAATTACTTTGTCATGAAATCAAAACATTTCTAGTTTTTCATGTGTAATTTAATACATATGCAAATACATTCTTAAAGACCAACTCAATAAACTTTAAAATCTTTTTTTAATGTAATGGGATAATTTTCATTAAGTAATGTATAACATTTATCACTTATTTTATTTTTTCTGTTTTCTGAATGCAGCCCAAGTTGATTAATTTCAAACTATAAAAACGTATTTGTTTGTGAATACTTAAGACATTTATCATATGATGCCATTTAAGAACCATATTAAAATATCATAATGTCTTTTTAGTAATAATGATATCATAATATCTGGGCTATGCATCAGAATGCAGAGGAAGCCATTAGGTTATATCCTGTAACCAATAATATTATGGTTTCAAAAATACGGGAAAAGGAACCCTATTGCCTTTACATAAGCACAGACATAGATTGGAAACAAATAAGAGGAAGAATTTCAA
This sequence comes from Homo sapiens, assembly GCF_000001405.40. NCBI lineage: Eukaryota > Metazoa > Chordata > Mammalia > Primates > Hominidae > Homo > Homo sapiens. The sequence continues at coordinate 156,472,584 of NC_000004.12, forward strand.
GTTTAAATTTAAGAGAATCTCATATGTAGATAAACTAGACTGGATGATCCTATCTGATGATATTCCTTGGGTCCTTCTAGATTCATGTTTTGCACATCCTGTCATTTCTAATAAGTATTTAGAGCACTGAATCACAGAGACAGCTGAAATTAGAGAATGCTGAAACCTTAAGCAAAAGTGGTTAACCCCAATCAAGTCTCAGTAATTAATATCAGTAGTTGGCAGCTGAGCCTGGATGTCATCATATATTATAGATGATGAGGCTACCGTGAATTAAACCTTGTGGCTGATGAGAACACTTTCCCCTTGGTTAGAAAACATATTTCATACCTTATTTTACAACCAGGTGTGTAGTTTTCACCACTACAGCAATTGGGCCACAGTATAGATTCATAAAATAAGTGTAAATGTGGATTTGAGTAGTTGGCAATTTAAACTCTAGCCATTCCAAAGTGAAATTCCAGGCCTAATTGAGCTCCAGTGGTTGTCAGCAGCTTATATGATCAAGTTTTTACAAACTCTCTTCTGGCTAATTGTGCTATCTTTGGTCTGTCTCCTCACAGGGATTCTGTGTGTGCATACTCCCAGTCTCACAGCTCTGTTCATGTCTTGGCAGCCTTCAGCTTCAAACTGAAGACTGTGGGAGGTTATGTATTCTGATACTAGGCTTCTTATTTGGGAAACCTTTATAAATTAATTGTGAAACTACTTTGGATGTTACGTTATTGGTATGAACTTAAGCAACACTGAGGACCTTAAGGTACATATTGAAACCCTGAGTTCTGTGAATCACCGAATATGACTGATTTTCATAGTTTCAGTACGGACCACCTTACTACATTTTTTATTTCATTTTTGTAAACTAAGACAGGACAGCAAAATATGAGCACAAATTGGGTTAGCCACATAACTTACATTTCCTGTTATCTTCTTTGACTCTTTCTTTACAATGACTTTTTTGCTGTGTTGTTGGTAGTTTTATCATTTTTTCCAAAAGCTTTATCTGTACTCTGGACAAGGTATATCAGTTGTAAAAATTAAACATTTATTCAACTATGAAGCCAGTCAGTCTATGGACGCCCTTTAGGCAGGCACTTCGTTTGCATTTAAAGTGTAATTAGAGAGAAATATGTTGAATTTTAAAGCAAGTATATGAAAAGCTTTTCAAGGTTTTTCAAATCTGGATAATATAATCCAGGAATTGCATTTAAAATATTTGTTTTATAGGAGAAAGGATGAAATTCTAGCTTTGACTGCACAAGGAACTCAGGATAATTAGGGAGAGAGAGCTTGCTCACAGTTATCAGAGGCATACAACTCCCTCACTGGTCTGATCTCTGCTGCTCCCAGCTCAGACTCATATCCCTCCTTACCCTCCAAGCTACTCCAAATAAGTAGCAGATCAGGGACAGCAAAGCATAAGTTATATAGACATGCTTCTACAAGAGGCTGCTTCCCCCTGACCCAAACACTCAGGGCCCACAAGAAAATGTGGGGTTTTTAAGATCAAATTAGAAGGAAGCCATTATCCTCAGCAAACTAATGCAGGAACAGAAAAACAAGGACCTCATGTTCTCACTTATAAGTGGCAGCTGAACAATGAGAACACATGGAGACATGGTGGGGAACAACACACACTGGGGCCTGAGATGGGGAGGTAGAGGGAGGGAGAGCATCAGGGAGAAGAGCTAATGGATGTTGGGCTTAATACCTAGGTGATGGGTTGACCTGTGTAGCAAACCACCATGGCATCTGTTTACCTATGTAACAAACCTGCACATCCTGCACATGTACCTGGGAACTTAAAATAAAAATGGAAGAAAAATGAAAAATAATAAAGTAAAAGGAATGCAGTGATAGGAATATCATGAGGCATTAAATGCAGGGATAATAAAGAATGATTTTTTAAATAAGAAATTTTCTTCTTTCTAGTTTAATGTATTAAAATGTGTTTATATAATTGTATATTTTATTGTTATATTACTGTGTTTTTCTGCATCACGTTTATAACATGGCTAAACTACATTATATCCATTTGTAATAAAAAATCTTACTCTGCTTTGTTATAGTATTAACTTATAAGTATACATTCAAGCTATAAGTAAATTACTCAGAATCAAAAGCAATTTGAGCTGGGCGCGGTGGCTCACACCTATAATTCCAGTACTTTGGGAGGCTGAGGCAGGCGGATCATGAGGTCAGGAGATTGAGACCATCCTGGCTAACACGGTGAAACTCCGTCTGTACTAAAAATACAAAAAATTAGACAGGTGTGGTGACACGCGCCTGTAGTCCCAGCTACTCAGGAGGCTGAGGCAGGAGAATCCCTTGAACCCTGGAGGCAGAGGTTGCAGTGACCCGAGATTGCACCACTGCGCCCCAGCCTGGGCGACAGAGCGAGACTCTGTCTCAAAAAGAAAAAGAAAGAAAACGAAAATTCTTTTAACCCTCATTTACCTTGCATTTCTATAATTGTAAAACATAGAAATATTAACATAGCTATTAGAGATTATTCAGTGTTGCCTTGAGGCTCCAGTTAAAACAACAGAAATGAATACACTCCTCAAGTTTTAAACACAATGAAATGTTATGAACTATTTTTAAGAGAAAAATCCCTACCTACTTGTGTAACAAATTATTGCTATGTGTTAATGATATATGTTGACATAGCTCATATATAGCACATACATTGAGCAATAAATATTGAAATGTTTTCTTTATTCATGCTAGCCCTTTTCAATCCATTTTAAACATTTAAGGGGCTTTGTCATAAAATAATTTTTTATTAAAGTGAATTGTATATAAATCCCATTTTGCAATGACTATTTTTTTAAAAGACAAAGAAGAGAATGATAAATGAGCTTTCTGCTATTGATCTATTCAGCCACAGGGTGTCATTCTTGGAGTACAGATTAGCCTGTCTAGAAGCAATACTCTGGCAGCAGATACCAAACACCATATCATATTCAGTATGTTGAATACATAATGAAAGCTCCTGACTTTTAGCCTAATTTAATACTTCTTTATACTCAGCAAACTACATCATTAGACATTTTCCAGATCTGTTTTGTAATTTTTAAATTATCTTTAGAATAAAAGCATGAAGACAACAAACAAAATTTCTAGTGGACTCAACCTCAGTGAATTGAATTAGATTGCTAGTCTTGGGAAGATAGTGAGAGAAAATATACAATCGGTACTGCTCTCTTATATTCAGAGAGAGTTATAAGGAAAAACAACGAAGTTGACAGATAGCCATACTTATAAAAAGCATTTTCCCTTTAAAAGTTATTTCCATTTATTTCATCAAACTAATAGATTATATCGCACCAGTACATGGCTCAAGAAAACTCCAAACATGCTTGGTATAGCTATTTTATGCTGAATTTGCAAAGCGTTCTAGGCCGAAAGTTAACATAGACTATGGAACTATAGTCTCACCCAAATCAGTTTAAACTTGGCACCAAGTATCCCACTTTGTCTTCTCCCACATTGGGTACAACTCATCTGAAAAAGGGTAACTTTAACCATGGTGCATAAGTCATGAAAATGGCTTGGAAAGACCTCATTAAAATGGGGCCAGATAAAGGTTAAGAAAAAGGTGATATTAACCTGACACTTTGCTTCTCTCTTCTTTAATCACTGGTAATGTGGGGACACTTAAACCTCTATCATAAACTTAGATGGAAATTCCCTCATGCCTACTTACATTGCTCCCAGCCCATCATCATGTGTAGAAAACAGATCAATGTTTTACTCCTTCATTCAGAGAGCTTTTTTCAAATATGATCCCATAATAGAGAGAAAACCAGACATGATTCACGTACTCATGCAGCTTAGTCTCTAGTGAGTGAGAGAGACATGAATCAACCACGCAAGTAAGACATAACATTCCAATGTGGTTAGTGCTAAGAAAGAGAAACACACCACAGTGCTACAAATGCTTATTTAATTGGGAATTTTACCCATGACTAGAGAAGAATTTCCTGAGTTAGCCAGGGCAGAGCTAGGGTATGGTCAATGAGTAATACTAACCAATCAAATAGAGAACAGAGAGAGATCAAGTCTGGAGCCTGTCAGGAAGACAGTATCATGAGCTCCAGTAACTGAAGAGGTTCAGGTCTCATCAAACAGATGGTGAAGACAATGTGGTGGAAAAGGCTGAAATGGTAGTCAATAAGTCATGTCAAGGATTTCGGTCTTTGCTTTTTGGTCTTTATCCTAAGAGCAAGAGGAAGCCGATGAATGTTTCCAAGCAAGAGAAGGATGAGGGAGGGAAAAGTGTTGAATATTCTAAGGTGCAGATTTGCACTTTGAGAAAGATTATTCTGTTTAGGATGCAAAAGGAATTTTTAGTGGACAAAGGTGGTTCTTGGAAAACCAGTTACAAGCTAGAAGTTGGCGGCTTGTATTAAAGAAACAAAAGTTAAAAATCGAAATAAGATGGACTTGAGACATATAGAAAGGAATTCCTTACCTATCTAGGGATTCTGTGTGGGGATGAATCTTTGATTTCGTCTCATTAATGGCTGGTGAGACTCCATTGTACAAAAAAAAGTTGATTTAAGGGACTACACCTGACTGGGTGCAGTGGGTCACACCTGTAATCCCAACACTTTGAGAGGCCAAGGTGGGAAGATCGCTTGGGCCAGGAGTTCGAGACCAGCCGGGGCAACAAAATGAGAACTTGTCTCTTCCAGAAAATTTTAAAACTTTGTGAGGCATGATGGCTCACACCTGTAGTCCAAGCTGCTCTGGTGCCTAAGTCGTTCAACATCACCCCAAGAAAGGTAAAAGGAGGTTTCCTGACTTATGGTCACATATTTCAACTACTCATTCATATGTTTAGCTATATATCACCACATACTCCTCTAAAAATTATTATAACAATTTAGATTTTTACCAAAAAATGGAGACCCAATTGTCCCATGTTCTTGATACCTCTGAGCAATGTCAATCTTTTTTATCTTGACTTATAAAACTTGGTTTAAAAAAACTTACTCTCTTGTCATTTCCTCAATTAGGAAGCAGTTGAACACATTTTCACAAGTTTGTTAGCTATCTTTATATCTTTTACATGAATTGACTATTTTCATTTGCCCAATGCTAGCACAGTGTTTGACTTTTTCTGAAAGATTTATAAAAGCTATAGTTTTTATGTTTCGTTGCAAATTATCTTCCTGTTTGTTTAATAAAAGCAAGCTAAGGACCTCTGCTTACCCTCAAACTGTACTATCTGTCACAGCTTCTGCTTCCTCACGATTTTAAATTTCCTTATAACTTCAGCTGGTTCATGGCCACTTAGTCCTATTGTCATCTCTATAGGGTTTTTGTATTTAGAAGATAAAATTACAAGACAGCCAATTAAATTTGAACTTCAGATAAAACAACACATATTTTTAACTGTAAGTATGTCTCATGAAATATTTGGGACATAACTATGAACTTGCATGTTGTTTATTTAAAATTGAAATTTAATTAGCTGTTCTGAATTTTTGTGACAACCTTCTCTCTGTTTCAAGCTACCTAATTCACTCCATATTTGTCCACCCAAATTCCAACAAATAAGAATAATATTATTCTATTCTATCCCAATTTGGACAAATAATTTTTAAGTTAATTTATAAGCTGCAAGCCTTCTAATGGATTAATTGCCTTTAAGTGAGTTGCCCAGGATAACATTGAAACTAAGGGGGAGCTCCCATCAGCAGAATCAGGATTTTATCAGAGAAGAGTGGAAAAGTTATGGACCCCATGACTATTACGTAAAAAATATATCACTTTTCCACTTAGAGATTTTTTAAAATAAATATGCAATAATAGTTTTAAATTATAATCATATTTATTTTGTTTTTTTGAGTTTTAAAGTATAATATTATTTGATAAAGGCCCTACATCTTCATGTATCTAGATTTTTCAGGAAAATCAAGAATCGATGTGGTAAACTGAATAACAACCCATGAAAAATGTCTATCTCCTAATCCTGGAATCTGCAAGTGTGTTGCCTTATGTGTCAAAAGGTACTTTGCAAATGTGATCAAAGCATCTTGAAAGGGGGAGATCATTCTGAATAATAATTATCCTGGGCCCAGTGTATTCACAGGAGTACTTATGAGAGGGAGGCAGTATAGTTAGATAGTGGGATGATGGGTGCAGAGTTAGAGAGAGAGAAATTGGAAGATGCTACACTGCTGGCTTTGAAGATGGTGGATGGGGCCAGGAGCTAACGAATGAGGCGGCTTCCAGAAGCTGGAAAAGGAGAGAAAATGATTTTCCCCTAGATTCTCCAGAAAGAATGCAGCTCTGCCAACACCTGAACTTTAGCCCATGAGAGCCACTTTTTAGTTTCTGTCCTCCAGAACACTAAGATAATAAACAAATGTGTGTTGTTTTAAGTCACTAATCTGTAGTCATTTGTTGCAGCAGCAATAAGAGCCTAATACAAAGACAATACTCAGAATAGTTCCAGGTTTTCTTGAATAGCAATATATTTTATTCAATATAAACAAAAGCAGAATAGGAAAAAAATTTCATATTATTCATTTCATTGCTTATTTTAACTACTATATTTTGACCTATTTAAAAGAAATGAATATATCAAAATAAGACTTGCTACCAAAGAAGAAAGTGCTCTCCCATTATATATCAACTGAAATTAGCAAACCAATAAATTTTGTTTGAAGATGTGCTTTTTTCACCTTTGGCTTTCATTATTAAGTATTTTCCAAGAGTAAAGATTTTTGCTGTATAATTAAATTGGAATTATATTGCTAGAATATATTCCATAAATGTAAATTTAAAAATCTCACATTCTAAAGGCTGATGCATGTAGCCTAAGTCTAGTTAACTTGAACATACATAGGCAAGTCAAGGGGGGAAATATTAAAATATTATAATTTGAAAAATATGTGTTTTGTTTCTAACACATAATGATATACTCACACTTGAATATTCTATTTAAAGAACTTGTTGAATCTTTTCTTCTTTTATGCATTCATTTACAGTAACATGCTTTAAAAACAGTCTCAGAGAAAAAAATTACATGCAACTTAACTATACTGTTGTGTTCCTAATAAAAGAGAAAAATGACATGTTACAAAGCCATAATTACAGGGAGTTTCAGAAGATATATTTGAAAAGGTCTAGTAGATTAGTACTTAAAATGGTCCAACTTCTGTTGAGTTTGCCTTTAATGTTAGGTTGGATATATTTTCAAAAGCAACACATTAGGTTACCAAGCTTACTGTATTTGATCCAAACAATGCCATGTTTATAACATTATTTACTTTGAAGCTCTGAAATTAAAAAAAAAACTATCTTCTTAACAGTGACCTTTTTCGTTTAAGATTTATTTTGCAAGATTTTAAAAATAAATAAATATATATTTATTTATATATAGTAAGAATTTTTTCATTCAATAATATGTTACTATGGTTAAAAATGGAAAATATTCCAAGATATTTATTTGGTTAGTAAGTTAGTTAATTTTTTTGCTAACATTAATTGATCTCCTATTTAATAGGCATTATGTTACACATATTGTGTGATTCATGTGATGACCCTGTGGGATACACATTCATTATACACATAAGTAAAGTGAGGATGACAGAATTTTACTTGCTTTAAGTCCTGCGATTTTAGCAGTTATATATTTGTATATCAGCTCTCAATAATGTTCTGAATTATACTTTGTGAGGGAGGGGTTTAACCAAGGTCCTTAAGTTGATTTTGTAATTGTAATATATAGTACTTAACCTATTAAATCTTTTGATTGAGTAGGATATTATCTACTTTGCAATAGCAAGGTGTCTGTATCAGCCAGGAGATGCTAGGTTATGCTGTGTAAGATACAGCCCCAAAAATCTCAGTGGGGTTGTTTATTGCTTTATACAATCTACTTTAGATCTATTTTAGAGCTGTACATTTCTCCAGGGCAACTATCCTCAATTTGTTCAGTGTTCCAGTATGCTCTACATATAATTGTGTTTTCTATACCATTAACATAGACAAACACACACACACACACACCCACAAAGGAAAGTAAATGAAAAGCAAAAGGGATGAGAGATTAACACAAAAAGAGATTTTAAAATAGTTTCTTTTACAGCTGAAAAGTGAAGGTCAAGAACCAATAAAAAAAATCTGTAAAGCAAAAAAATATACTGCCCACAAATAAAAAGAGACCTTTTGCATAAATCTCAAAATAGCACTTAATGTAAACAAGGTTTTTGAGATAAACAAGCAATAAAAATGGTGTTTTTAAAAAGGAGCCCATTATCCTAAGAAATTGTTACTAATAAAAAATATAAAGAAGCACGAAATGATTTTGTGTGGGTTCTTGAATAACAGTGTTGAAAAACTTCTGAAATATATTAGAATCTGCTCAGGCTAGAAAACCACTTCAGACAGGATAAGCAGGCCTTCAACAGCATGTTCTATGAAGTTGCTTTTGGCTAAGAAACATAGGCTCCATAGACTGTTTCTGCATAAGAATTCTTCATTCCTATATAAGAAGCATTCCTATATAAGAAGCATAAGAATTCTTCATTCCTATATAATTAGCATTGAGAATACTGATCTCATTTTTTGTGTGTGCTACAGCTTCTTTTTCTTTTCTTAGATGTAAGCTTACTAGAAAAATCTGGGGACTACACAATGTGTTGTTCATATATACAAGTCTCTCTTATTCCCACAAACATATACATAATAGCTGAAAATTCTCAAAAGAATGCAGGAATTTAAAGTTTTAACTCTAGCACTTCCACATATTTAGAATATCATTCACTTTCTTTTACTTGCTGTTTTAATCCTGTCTCTTTCTTAGACTTGAAAGACTACATTTTGAAAGCTTAAAACAAATGCAAATTAAAAAGAAAGTAGTGTTAGCTATTTTGCCACTATTTATCTTTACATATTTTTGTCACCATTAGGATCAGCTTATAGAAGAAATTTGCATCAAAGTGGAATGGCTAAGCAGAGAGCAAGCATACTGTACTCTTTATTGAGGTATATATATGTATAAAACTCATAAGAAATATTAAAACTTGACTTCTCCTTGCTTGTGTGCTTGGTTAAATTCTTTTATGAATATAACCAGTATTCTGTCAACTAAAAAATCATCTGTTCATGGAGGTATAGTAAAAGATGTAATGTGCATGCTGTTAATATTGTATGTTATGTTAAAATATAAGTGTTCATTCATTCAGTCTTTTCTTAAGGTGCCAAAGAATTAACAAGTCTTCTGATTGAGTAACCAGCTATTTCTGGTTTTATTTTCTTTTAAGTGGAGCAAAACTTAAGATATTTGTTAAGCAATATGAATTAAGGATCCTTCTATATTTTTCCCCAATATTTTCTAGTTGTCCTGTCCATGTCTAATTCATGAGTTGTTGGTTTGGTGTTTGTATGTGTGCGCACCTGGGGCCGGTGGGTGGGGCCGGTGGATGGGGCGGAGCATCGGTGGCAGAGGAGGGTGGAGGTTTAGCTATTAACCCATACATAACTAAGAAAAAGTCTTTTTTTTGGCGGGGGGGAGGGGTACGGAGTCTTGCTCTGTCGCCCAGGCTGGAGGGCAGTGGCATGATCTTTCCTCACAGCAACCTCCGTCTCCCGGGTTCAATCGCTTCTCCTGTCTCAGCCTCTGGAGTAGCTGGGATTAGAAGCGCGCCACCACGCCTGACTAAATTTTCTACTTTTAGTAGAGACGGTTTCACCATGTTGGCCAGGCTGGTCTTGAACTCCTGACCTCAGGTGATCTGCCTGCCTCGACCTCTCAAAGTACCGGGATTACATAAAAAATTTAATGTAATAGTATCCTTATTAGAAAGATTCCTTTAAACTATATATTTATGATTTTCAAGTCATTAATAAATTTTGGGATTTTCTCTTAATGTTATACTATAAGATCTCCATATTATCATAATCTATCCATTAATTTATTGGCTACATACTATTCAGTATTGAAAATTATCATCTGGCTAAGTAACAGGGATTTTTAATATTCAGTGATATATGGATGATATTTTTCCCCAAATTTTTAATATTATTCTTTAGAAATATTTTTCAACAGCCTTTCTGATATAGGGTCACACCATTAGAGTCTGTAATTTTAAAAATACTAACATGCTAAGATCTGCCACCCAAGCTGTTTAAATTATGTCTGGGGCAAAGGGAAAACCCAATCAAGTCATAGACATGTATGCTTCCCATTGCTTCAAAGTAGTTCCTTCTGCCTGTGTCTGCATCCATTTAGCAGCCCAAAATGACCAACCAAACATTTCCTTCAAATCTCCATGTCAACCTTTTTAATACATTGAATAATAATAATAGTTTACTGCCATCTTTGAGGAGCAAAGCAACTTCAGAAATAACTATAGTTAATCATTGGTATAATGCTTCACTGAATTGAGAAAATGCTTAAAATGCTTAAAATTTAAGGTTTGCCAAACATTTTTCAATCCATCCTCAAAGATTTATACCTAGGCAATAGCTGTCTCCAGGATCAGCAATGTGATTGTGATGGAGGCATCAATTCTCATGCATATTCAAACTCTTTTCATAGCACTATTTTAGGATCAGGATCCTGAGAATCAATCCTTTGGCAAAGCAAATTCCTGTCCAAGTGATGTAATACAGGACTATGTCATAGCTTTTCTCCTTCCTCTTCTTGATTTTAAAATAATCAAATAAAGATTTTTAGATAATTTGGATACATGTCCTCTTACACAGCACATGGAGGTCAAAGCACTTGATAGCTGGTAGTGAAATTAAGTTCAAAATAGATATGCTTATCTTCTCTGCATTAATCTAGTTTTGGTGATGATTAATATTAGCTTATTCTTTCTTTTTGCATTTCTGTTGTAACAGTGAAAATTCCCACTGAAGTGGAAGGATGCCTCATTTTGATTAGAAAAAATATGAAATATGCATAAGTGCAAATGAGAAACACACACTAATATACAGTATTTAAGAACACTATCCTACAGGTAAAAGCTCCCTTTAGTAAATAAGTGTGGTCCCGTAATGACTACTTACTATGACCTTGGAGTCCATTTCCTTCCAAGAAGTTGAGCGGTATGTCTTTATCCAAAATATTTTCCCCTCTTTATTATCCTGCTTAACAGCCAACTGTGAATACTGGTTGAAAGTCTCATGACTCATTGAATGATGGTGTGATCCTTCTCAAGACTCAGTTTCCTCTGCCCTGGCCCGATGTCCCCTGAGAGCTCAGATGTGACCACGGGCAAACATTGAGTGGGTTTAGGCCTTAGAGAGAGCCGTTGGCTCTATTCAAAGGCTGCCAGAAGTACAGTCTGGTCCCTTGTATGAAGGATTTCTCCCTGCCCTCCTCTCCATTCCTATTGGAATCCCTAAGTCACTGACCAGTCTCTGGCCTCAGAGACTTGGCTTGAGAGAGAAATGGGTGTCCATCCTCATGAGAAAGTTTGATTACACTCCTATTTTTTCGAGACCTCTCAAGCTTGTCCTGTCTTATGCATTACTAGCTACAGAGTTTTTTTTCAGGCTTGTTTCTAGAGTCTATCCTCCTCCAGAGTACACTTTTTTCCAATCTCTCTCTGGCTACTGTATATCTAGCTTCAGTTGCCATTGCTAAATCTTGGCTCACTTATATAAAAATGCCAGGGTCCAGGCAGGGACGTTAATAATTATTTTCCATGAGTCCTCCCTTCTTTACTTCCTCTGTTGATTCTCTGTCATTCTTTATTTCACTTGGAATTGCATCCATGAACCCAATGTACCTTGGCTCTCTAATTAAGATTACAGGTTTGTAATCAGCTGTGGATGCAGTTATATGCTCATAAATAAAATCATCACTTTCAACAGGGCCTCGTTATATGTTCACAGAGGTTTTTAAAGATGCCAGACAATGCTCCTAAAGATAGTAGGTAAATTTCTTACTCATGGCCGGGTGCGGTGGCTCATGCCTGTAATCCCAGCACTTTGAAAGGCCAAGGCGGGCGGATCACGAGGTCAGGAGATCGAGACCATCCTGGCAAACACGGTGATACCCCGTCTTTACTAAAAAATACAAAAAATTAGCCAGGCGTGGTGGTGGGTTCCTGTAGTCCCAGCTACTCAGGAGGCTGAGGCAGAAGAATGACGTGAACCCAGGGGGCGGAGCTTGCAGTGAGCCGAGATCGCGCCACTGCACTCCAGCCTGGGCGACAGAGTCAGACTCTGTCTCAAAAAAAAAAAAAAAAAAAAAAAAAAAAAAGACAATTCTTACTCATGTATTAAATACATTCAGAAAAACAGAATTTTTATAAATTCATCTGCTCTTCCCTCACAGTTGAAGAGGAAATAAATAATTATGGATTTTGGTCTAATCAGGAAATTAAAACTGTTCCTTTAGGCAATTTTATCTCTGTTTCAGATAAATCCTGTCTCTCAAGGTGGCATGAAGTGGCCTTTTAGTATATGAGGTTGCAGTTTTTTTGTGATAGGGACCTTACGCTTGCAGAGAAGATATGGGTTTTATGGATCCATGAGGCAGACTTTGGATCATGCTGGTATTTACCATCCAATAGCTAAGGATCCTCCCCAGACTGGTGACAGTTGAGCTGAGGATGACTGGCCTTGTCCCAGATAATCTGCAGGAATCTCCAGCTGACAACATTGGTGTAACTTATGTTCCACAGTAACTTATTGTCTGTCTTCTCTCAATGGAGATAGTATCTCATGGTCTTCCCCAGTGGCTTATCTCCCCTTCATCCATTGATATTCCCGTAGACATCCCTTAGGTCTGTGACTTTAATATGATTTCTCTGCTATTGGCCGCTGGACCCAGTGTTCTAGTTTTGAGAAAACATTGGCCTGCCTCAATGATTCCCTCTTGTGAGAGCCACTGGCCGTACTCTAAACATCCCCATGCCCTTCAGAAGCATGAGAAGAATTTTTGTTTCATTCTTATCATATAGGAAGCAAAACTTCAGTCTTCTGTCAGCTTAACAATGAAATTCCACTGAATTTATTTTGAGGTTTGTGTGAGGCAGCTGGGAGGTGGTCTGCCCACAGAATACTGCATGTAAAGTGGGATTCTTAAAAGCCCTTCTTTCGTTGCTTCCCACACTGAATTCTACCCTTTCCTGGGCTTTCAACTTGAGGAGTGTTGTGGGGGCGGTGAGGCACATGTTACTCTTGCTTTTTCTTCTTTTGTCAATTCATTAGGAACTAGGATAAGAGGGAATAGGTTTTATTTTCTCGTTTATGTGATTAGCCTTATCTGTGCTGCATCTGGGTCTGGCATACCGAGTTTTCACAAAGTATTGTGGAAGAAGGTGACTGAGGAAGACTGGAATAAGATGATCATTTTCTTCTACGTTGATGCCATAGTTTTAATCCCATAGCACAGTGATGGTCCGAAATATACAAAATATACAAAAACCACTGTATAGTTACTATCGGGAAAAAATTAAAATAATTTGTTATGATCTATGCCCAAAACAAAAGGTATAAATTTGGAAGACTGTCGTTGTAGATGGAATATACCAAATAACTAAACTCAACTTGTCAAACAATTTGTCTGTTGGCGGGGTGAGAGCGTACATTTGAGTTAACTTTCTTTCGGCAGGCTAAATCCGTTCAAAATTAAAACTTGTACAAATTTTACTCAAGTACTTTTGTAATACATAAAGACAATTGAATATTCCTACTTTCAAAATCCTCAAGGTCATTCCAAACATTTTTTAATGTTTTAAAATGGAAAATAATAGTGTTTAAATCATTATTTGATAATTTGAATGGATTCAAAACTATGTCAACAAACATTTACTGACCCTATCTAGAGAAAAGTTCCTATCTCACTGCTGTGAAAAATTGACTAGTACTCAAATGAGTCAATAACATGTTTCAGCATCTTCAATTTTTCAACAAAATGTCAACTTTGCTGCCTGAAATACAGAATTTTCACATCTTGAGCATTAGTAGCGATTTCAATATTAGTTATTTACTATTGACCTCCTCCCAAAAGTCCAGTTAATGTATACATATCAGAAAATTAATTTTTTATTATTTTAGGTTATCCATAAACCACTAGCATGAAATATATTTGTTATGTTATTTGAATTCTCCATGCAATGCTAAAATTAATAATATAATCTTATTTTTTATTTAGGTCCAATAAAAGAAAAGACATATGAAAATTGTGCCTTCATCTTTTAAAAATTGCTACTGAGGACTTTAGCCTTATAGCCATTGCACAATTTTCCGATATTAATATCTGTGTGCAAACTTCGTCTTGGTGAAATTACTTAACTTTTTAAAAATAAATTATTGCTTGGAAGAACACTTGTATAATCTCACATGCCCTCTCTTGCTCTGTTGTCACTATTTTGACCAATGAACAGTCACAGAGTATGTACTGTACTATATGCAAGAATAATGTGATTTTGACAAACTTAGAGTTAATAGGGAGTTTTCAAAATGAATATTCAAATCATTAAAAATATAAATTAAAAACAGCTATTCTAAATAATTACAAAGTTTTTTTTACACTTTATAAATCTAATAAATAAAATTGTAATTTCAATAGGGCTTTTAATTAATACTTGCCAATTCCCTTACTTCTGATAGAGACAGGAGACAACCACATGCCTCCTAGGTCACTGTGCGCAAGGGGCTTGCCTAAACATGCCCACGATGAAAAATTCCGGCCCTTTACACATATGCAGTAAGAGAAATAAATCAATGTGGAGTGTCTCAGACTAAGGGCCTGCCTGTGCACTGGGAGAATGGGGTGGAGCCACTGGGAATTCGCGCATTATGCAGTGGGGTGGAGCCTGGCCTCTTCAGCTCTTGTGGTGTGGCCTCGTATTCAATCCATGAGATGGGAGCCTGTTGGCAGGGCCCCCCCTTTTTTTGCTGAAAGCTTTCTTTTAATACTGTGCCCTGTTCACCTTTCAATGTGTTTGTGTGCCTAATTTTTCCAGGTCGTGAGACAAGATCCCAGATTTTAGCTGTATTAAGGAGCAAAAAATCCTGCATCACTTTTAGTTATATCTACCCCAATAGAAACAAAACTTTTTCAAATAAACTATTTTGTTAATTTAATGAGCTAAACATATAAAGTCAAACTTATTATACACATTTTAAGCTTTTTATAGGATTAATAAATGTACATTTAATCTTTTAGCATACTTCCTCAAGTCTATATTCAAATTATCAATAATACATTTTAAATTTAAATTGGAGTTAGCAAGTCTAATATGCTAGATTCCTTTAAACAGTTAATCACATTAAACAGCATAACATGTATGCACAAATTATTTCCAAAATTAACATAGAAAGGTTTTTTAAAGTTTGGTTTACTTCTCCTTTACATATATATGTCTAATTCTAATCTTTTGTAGTATGAAAAGATTCCTCAAGGAAATAATTATACTGAGGTTGCTCACCTGCCAGTGATGTCTGCTGAATACTTGATGTTTGATTCAGTTTGCAACATTTACCAACAATAGAGCTCCTTTACATAATCTGTAAGAGGGACTCTATGACCTTTAAATTGTTATAGACCTTTACATTGTTACCTGGTTTTTCTTCTCTTATTTCCTCATTCTTCCTTTTACTTAAGAATCCTGCAGCCAGATAGAGATGGTAACTAAGACCTTTACCCTTTCCTTGAATATTGCAATTTTTGACTCCCATAATGCATTTGAATGTTTTCCTGTCTGGCTTTAAAAACATTTTTACTTCTATTCCACTGGATCCTTTGTATACATATGGCATTCTTTCATAGTCTCTTAAATTTATTACCTGATTTGTGTGGGCAGAATTCTATATTCAGTATTCTTTTCACATTTTCCCTGTCTGGTAGACATTTACATACAGTAAATGTCATCAGGTTGAATTCTGTACACCTCTCATGTACTTGTTTCTGTGGTCATAACCCAAAGTCTTGCTGATAACAGTAGTGCAGAAAGATGAATGAGCTCCTTAATGATGCCCAGGGCAATCATAAGTAATGGGCCTCCCTTGTCTACACGCTCATAGGGTTTCCCTCCTTCAACTTTGCTTTCTAGGAAATTGTAAGCAGTACTTTGTTCATCACAGTGTGTGATGGTTAATACTGAGTGTCAGCTTGATTGGATTGAAGAGTGCAAAGTATTGATCCTGAGTATGTCTGTGAAGGTGTTTCCAAAGGAGATTAACATTTGAGCCAGTGGGCTGGGAAAACCAGACCCACCCTTAATCTGGGTGGGCACCATCTAATCAGCTGCCAGTATGGCAAGAATATAAAGCAGGAAGAAAAATATGAAGAGATGGAACTGGCCTAGCTGCCCAGCTTACATCTTTCTCCCATGCTGGATGCTTCCTTCCCTTAAACATCGGACTCCAAGTTCTTCAGTTTGGGAACTCAGACAGGCTCTCTTTGCTCCTCAGCTTGCAGACATCTATTGTGGGACCTTGTGACAATGTAAGTTAACACTTAATTTTATATATATGATATATTATATATATCATATATTATATATTTTATATATGTATATAATATATACATATATATCCTATTAGTTCTGCACCTTGAGAGAACCCTAATACAGGTTTTGGTACCAGGAGTGGTTGTAGAGGAACAGAATATTAAGGTTGGAGTTCTTTCCTTGGTTTTGGGGTTTCTGGAGTTCGCTGCTTAATATGATTAGACCCAAAAATGCTAAGGACTCTACTTCTAATAGTATGGAGAATTCTGATAGTCCTTGGCATTAACCGTTTAGAGAGTTATGCAAAATAAATGCATTTGACATTCCTAATTCACTGCTCATGAGAGGCAAGAAGTTTAGTGACTCTATATATAATACCTTTGACCATATGTGGAGAACCAAGGAACATAAAGAAGCTGGTTGGTTGCTCCTACGTTCAGTGGACAAAGTGATGAAAGAAAATGATAAACTCGGTGCTTCTATCTCCCGGCTTCAGAAGCAGATACTGAGCCTTAAATCTGCTAAGATTGCCCTGAGTGAGAGTCTTATCTCCTGTAGAGAAAGAGTCAATATTGTGAAAAAACAGACACAAGCTCTTATCATGCCAGTGGCTGACCTGCAATGAAAGGTGCATGCACAGCCTTGCCAGCTGTCTACTGTTAAAGTGAGGGCATTGATTGGAAAATAATGAGACCCTGCAACTGGGAATGGGGATGTGTGGAAGGACCTTGATGAAGCTGGGGACACTGAGTTTGTAAACTCCGATGAACCTTTTTCCCAGAAGAAACAGCTTCCCATCCCCAGTAATGGCTACATCCCCTCGCAATCCATGCTGCCATCAGCTTTTCCACCTTTGTCTGAGATGATAAATCCTGCGCTGCCTGAGGCAACAGTGATGGCCTCCCCTGAGGCAGGTGCCTGGCAAGATAATGTTGATTCTCCTCAGAAGCCACCCACAACAACCCTGTTTGCTTCTAGACCTATAACTGGACTAAAGTCCCAGCGGGCCCCTAAAGGTGAGGTTAAGAGTGTGACCTAAGAGGAGGAAAGGAATTGCTTGAGCTTTCTAAGTTATATAAACAGAAATCTGGAGAAAAGGCATGGGAATAGATATTAAGGGTGTGGGATGATGGTGGAAGGAACATAGAGTTGGATCAGGCTGAATTTATTGATTTTTACCCACTAAGTAGGGATACTGCATTTAATGTTGCACCTCAGGGAGTTAAAAAAGGTTTTAATAGTTTATGTGCTTGGTTAGCTGAAATATGGATTAAAAGATGACCTACTGAGTGGGATAGAAATGCCTGATCTCCCTTGGTTTAATGTAGAGGAAGGGATCAAAATGCTTAGGGAGATTGGGATGGTGGAGTGGATTAGTCACTTTAGATCTATTCACCCCATCTGGGAAGATACAGAAGATATACCTTTTTCCAATGTCTTGTGAAATAGATTTGTGAGGGCAGCACCTGCATCTTTGAAGAGCCCTGTAATTGGTCTTCTCTGTATGTCAGATCTAACAGTGGGAATTGCAGTCACTCAACTACAAAATTTAAATACAATGGAAATAATTGGATCCCAAGGTGGCAGGGGCCAAGTGGTGGCACTCAACCATCACAGGCAAGGTGAGCATAGCTACCATACTGGACAGCAGAAGCAAAGCAGCAATCAGAATAGTCTGACTGGTGTGGAGCTCCGGCATTGGCTAATTAGTCACGGTGCTCCTAGATGTGAAATTGATAGGAAGCCTACTGCATTCCTACTTAATTTATATAAGCAGAAAACTTCTAGATCAAATAGACAAAAGACTCATTTGAATTATAAAAGCAGAGAATCACAGCCCCTCAGTCAATTTCCAGATTTAAGCCAGTTTATAGACCCAGCACCCCTTGAATGAATGGGAGGCTGGGTCCCCTTGAGGAAGCACCCTACTACACTACTGACAATTTATGCTGTTAACCTTTCTCCCATCCTTCCCCAAGGAGACCTCTGGCCTTTTACCAAGGTAACTGTGCATTGGGGAAAGGGAAATAATCAGATGCTTCGGGGACTACTTGACACTGGCTCTGAGTTAATGTGGATTCCAGGGGACCTAAAACGTCATTATGGTCCTCCAGTTAAAGTAGGGGCTTATGGAGGTCAGATAATTAATGGAGTTTTAGCTCAAGTCCAACTTACAGTGGGTCCATTGGGTCCCCAGACTCATCCTGTGGTCATTTCTCCAGTGCCAGAATGCATAATTGGCATAGATATACTTAGCAGCTGGCAGAACCCCCACATTGGCATCCTGACTGGTAGGATGAGGATTATTATGGTGGGAAAGGCCAAATGGAAGCCATTAGAGGTGCCTCTACCTAGAAAAATGTAAGTCAAAAACAATATCACAACCCTGTAGGTATTGCGGAGATAAGTACCACCATCAAGGACTTGAAAGACGCAGGGGTGGTGATTCCACACCACACCTGTGTTCAACTCTCCCATTTGGCCTGTGCAGAAGACAGATGGATCTTGGAAAATGACAGTGGATTATCGTAAGTTTAACCAAGTGGTGACTCCAATTGTAGCTGCTGTACCAGATGTGGTTTCATTGCTTGAGCAAATTAACACATCTCCTGGTACCTGGTATGCAGTCACTGACTTGGCAAATGCCTTTTCCTCCATTCCTTATGTGACATAAGATTTATTGACTTCACATCAGCATTTAAGTATCGTTAACTTTATGTAATAGTATTTGGGTTGGGGATTGGTGCATTTCTGGTTGTAGGAAGGATAGTTGTATTATGTTAGGTGTAATTATAAACCTTATTATTGTCTTTATTTGAAGATTATGTATGATCTCAGGAAATGTATATGGATTCAAGTTGATGAAAGGTGGACTCATGATGGTTAATACTGAGTGTCAACTTGATTGAACTGAAGAATGCAAAGTATTGATCCTGGGTGTGTCTGTGAGGGTGTTGCCAAAGAAGATTAACATTTGAGTCAGTTGACTGGGAAAGCCAGACCCACCCTTAATCTGGATGGTTACCATCTAATCAGCTACCAGTGAATATAAAGCGGGCATAAAAACATGAAGTGACGAGATGGGCCTAGCCTCCCAGCCTACATCTTTCTCTCATGCTGGATGCTTCCTGCTCTCGAACAGCAGACTGCAAGTTCTTCAGTTTTGGGACCCAGACTGGCTCTCCTTGCTCCTCAGCTTGCACACAGCCTATTGTGGGACCTTGTGATCATGTGAGTTAATACTTAGTAAACTATTAAGTTTCTTACTTCTGTCCCTCTAGATAATCCTAATACACAGTGGTTTACCTTTTCTTGAGTTACACTATTCCAAATTCTTTACTTTTCTCTCTACTATTAATGTGCTGGATCTTTTATTTTTATTTCAATTTTTTTTTTGTTTTGTTTTTGGAAATGAAGGAGCTTCATTCAAAAGAGTAAATAAATCATTTTAAAAATCCATTATTAGAATCTGTTACTGTGTGATAGGAATTGAAATCAAATTGTATAGCTTAGTTATTAAGATATCTCACTAACCAAATTTCATATTTTAATTTTCTTTATTTAATACATATATAACTTTTGAAAGGTAAGTTTTATTGTATTATTATTATTTATTATACATTCTTTTTAGAAATATAGTTCTCTAGGCAAAATATTTCTAAGGAGTATATTGTAATATTCTTTTGGACTAGAGAAAGCATCTATTCCCAAACCAGACTCTGGTTTAGTCTCTCCTTTACTCCCGTCCATGTCCTGTGTGCCCTTGGGAAAGTCACTTAAGGATTCTGTACTTCTATTTCCTCATCTGTAAAATCAGAATAATTTAAAAATCACCAACATCACAGAGTTATTATAAAGACCAATTGAGTTGTATGTACAGAAAACAATAAGCACTCAACAAATTCTAGTGGTTATATTTTTTTTTAGTTTCCACAAAACATAGAAAAACCAAACTCAGTATATTGTATTGGAAAGATGTTAATGACACATTACATTTGATTTATGTTTTTGCTTGTAACAAATAGATGGGCTTTTATGTTTTGATATATTTGATATATATATGTTTGATATATTTAATATATGAAAACATAAAATAATTTTATGTTTGAAGGATGGCAAGTGGCTCAGAAAGGCTATGAAGTTTGCATCTTAGGAGAATGGCGGAAATCAACAGATGAGGGAGATTTGAATGTGATATCCTAAGAAGTTTGGAATTTTGAACTCAAAAAGAGAGTCACACTTACAGACTAAGAAAAAAAAAGGATTATATGATTAAATTTACACTTGAAAAATCAGACGATTGGCAATGGAGGCACTGTAATATAGAATAATGATATCTGTGTAGCAAGCATAATAACAGGAATCTGAGAATAGTGTCTTAAATGTTAAACAACACTAAAGTAAATCATTCTAGGAAATATCTCTCTTTAGTAACAATTATTTACCTAAAGTCATCAAGATGTTCTCCCAGTTAGTAAAAATCATGTCCAAATTTCCACTGAAAAATCTGCAGAATTGAGGCAGCAAATCTCTAAAGTGACCCTCAGAACAATTAATAGAAATCAAAAGCAAAGTTCACCAAAATATTCCATTGAAATTGCATATATTAATAGCAAAGATATACAAAAATGTTTATTCAAATTGAAATTTTTAAATAGATTATGTTGGTTTCCAAGGGGACTCTTGACAGTCATTAATTCCAAGTAGCACTTAACTTCATCTTCTTCACACATAAACACAAGTACTATCTGTAATAAGCAGGCACATGTTGAAAATAGACAGTCTTCACTGAGTGAATATCTAAATGACCTGTAAAAAGAATTATCTTTCCATTCTATCTCAGATTATGCACTATTATAAAAAGGTGTGGTCACACACATCTGATCTCTCAAGGCTACGAGGATACATTATGTCCTACATTTAACATTATTACTGTGATGAATGTTTGATTTCTGAATTGTTGGAAGGGAATTTGTACAAGGATTCCATGGCACAACTACTGAAGAGAAAGACACTCCTTCTTCAGCCAAATGCCTTCTCAACTCATTTCAGGGGAATTTTGACTCAGTGTGTTAACAGAAGCTCTGCATTATCTGATTCTCATCTGGGCTAGAAGAAATGGCATCCCAAATTCCATGTAATTCTAATCTCAGATAAAAACAGACATTAACGTTCACAGAATTGCCTTCTTGTTAATTTGACTCTGTCTTTACTAAGTCCATTAAAACGCAATGCAATAAAACCTGTGAAATTAATTTCTCCACTTACCGGTCATTTATGACAGAATTCATACGTTCCTCAAACCATTCTAAACCTAAGCAGGAAAAAATGGCATTGCTTTTACAGTTTTCAAAGTATTACATCTTTCCAAACACTTCTCATTTTATGGAAGCTGAGGTTTCAAAGGGTAATTGTATTTTGTCTGAGTATATAACATCAGTAAAGCAGAGATAGTGTAATTCCTATTAATAGTAAAATCAAATGGAAGAAAATTACTCAGTGTGATTTGTCACTACACTGGACTTTTGTAGCCATAGCTTGCAGTATGTAACTGATTTATTCATTCCACAAATGTTTATTAAAAACCTACCCCTGTGATAGATGGTGGGAGAAGTGCAGAGATACGTAAAATTGTCCCTATTTTCAAAGAGATTTCAAATCCACACTGTGTTATTAGGAAAGAAGAGCGTGTGTGTGTGTGTGTGTGTGTGTGTGTGTGTGTGTTTCATTTTACGAAAACCTACCATTAAAAAATAGACTACATCAAATAGTTTTATTTTTCAACCTTCCTCATGAACACAATGTTTTAAAATATTTGTGAATCCCAAAGTTGGCAATCACAACAAGCTTAAGCACATACTGGCATACAATACCTGCTTTTTCCTCTGGTAATTTTAAGGGAAACAAAGTTTAAAATATTACCTAAATAGATTCACATGTCTAAAAGATTCTATGATATGATCTATAAATATATTTAAAAAGTAACAATCATTAACAGGAAAGAAACATTTCTTCTATAAGATATTTGTTTATATTCAATGCATAACTTAGAGAAGATGAATTCACCTAGTTTTTTCCTTTACAAGTAAACCACTGTGTTTCCCAGGAGAGTTTTGTGAACCAGTTAGTATTCTGTGATTTGGCAGGCAGATGTCTTTTTAGTACAAGTTTTTAGCTTGACCACTATTGAATTTACTCTTTTATGTTTTCTCTTGTAGCCACTGTGTACCCTGGGACAGTCATCAAACAGTATCTTTGAGTAACAGTTTCCACTTTCATTCATTTTGACACACAGTATTCTTAATTGGCTTTCCTCTGAAAAGAGAACTTACTCTGAAATGCTTTTCAGTCTGCATCATTTCTCCTATGTGCCTCATTTGTAAGGAACTCCCTTTGATGATATAACCCATAAATGTGATTTCATTTCTAAAATGCCACCTAGAACATGCTACTTATCCACTATTTACCTGCACAGTGTAGAAACATTACATGCATTAAGAAGTGGTAAATACCTTTCAGTCTGCAAGTGCAGTATCATTGTCTTGAAAGTTTAAGTGCAACAATTTCTGTATCTCCATATACTATATGAAAATCTTCCTTTTAATGTAGCAAGAATTTGTGAGACAATCAGAAGATAGGCTAGTTATCTCTAAATGGTTCTGAAAGGAAGACTTACATAACTATCTTTCTGCCCTATCCTTGCTAAATGTGAGTGTTCAACAGCAGCAATTTTGGCAACACTAATCTACCAATAAGTGTTTTTGAATGCTGCTAAAATGTTAGCATTTATACTTCATTTGGGCATGAAGCATTTTTTTATGTATGAAATAACATAAGACACATACTTCCTGTTCACAGATACAAAATGAGAAGTACTAGTAGATCTATCCTTTTTTTTCTCTCACTGGTGACATAACTCTACTTCTAAAACAAAAGGCATTTATTGGAAATAATGTTTACCTTTTCCTTCTCAACTGTGGGAAACAGAAAGACTGAGGTTTTTATAGTAGCCAGGTCCAACTTTGCCACAGTCTGTTGCAATTCCATGTGATCCCACCTTGTCACAACAGGAAGCAAGTTAATAAACATATAATTTGCCCTGAGGACTTTACCTGTGAAAATACTAGCGACTTTCTTCTTTCACCAAGCAAAAAAAGACTTCTACATTGATCCCACTCCTGTTATTAACAAAAATAGCAAGAAATTCATACAAATTTGGAAATTTCCAGCACTTATTTTCAATTATTTTTTTCAAAGGTGTTAAAGTTGATACCCCAAGTAGAAAATAACTTTCTTGAGTTGTGTAGTACTTTTCTACTTATACCTTATAGCAATTTGGCAATCAAATAATAATTAGCAATTGTTAGCATTGATTATGAGGTGTCTTTATCTTACATCATTCTACCCAGAAACCTTGACTATTTCTACAACCTTCTATTTCCAATCTCATTCTTCTATTACAAGAAATATAGGGTGTGAAAAGGATGGACAAGGATGAATAAATAGTACAGTCTTCTTCTTTTAACCATTTTAAGATCAATAAGCTGTCACTTACACTTTTGTTTGTCAATACACATGAACCATAGAAAAGAAACAAAGAGAAGAAAGAAACATGCATGGGAGAAGGTGATGCTAATAAGAGCTATGGTAAATGAAGAAAAGAAACGATAGTTGGAAAAGGAGGAAGGTACAGCTGCCTCTGTTGCCAGAGTTAGAGGGAAGCAGTTTTGTTCTGGTCTTTGAGGCCAGTAGAATATTCTGGTGTGATATTATCCTGAGCAAACTTTCCCCATCACTGCTGCACTTATTAAATTTTGGTTTATTGAATTCCATTGCAACTTAGAAATCCACAAATATATTTTTACGAGATCCAAAAAAGCTATTCATAGAGCCAAATTCGTGCCATGAATTTGATGAAAACTTGCTGGAACCCACAATGAATGGTTCAAAAATGACTCCACAATGCTTTAATTCCAAAACCAGAGATCTGGCTGACCTAAACTGACCCAGTTATGTTTTTCCTGGCTACCTCTTCAAATACTACTAGTTCTCTTGTTTCAGGACTATTTCAAAAAATATTGTCTCCCTCGTCACACACACTTTTCAGGGTTTTATTGGT